>NC_000005.10:99200716-99503746 GCF_000001405.40 Homo sapiens
CACCCTCTGCGATATTGCAAGTAATATCCTTTCCCCTCCCTGGATATTTTGAACAATATCACAGGGGGTGCACACACCCTGCGCTATTGGGAGTTATATTATCCTCCCCCTCTGGATATTGGGAACAATATCACAAAAGGGTATACACCCCCTGTGATATTAAGAGTAATATCATCCTCTTCCCCACTGAATATTAGGAACAATATCACTGAGAGGTGGACACCCCCAATGATATTTTGTGTAATATCATCCTATCTTCCGCTAGACATTACGAATGATACCAGAGCGGGGTGTACGCTGTCTGCAATATTGGGGGTAATATTATCATCCCCTCTACTGGATACTACGAACACTATCACAGGGAAGTGTACACCTTCTGCAATATTGAAAGTAATGTCATCCTCTCTCCCCCTGGATATTATGAAAAATATCACAGGGGGGTGTACACCCCCTGTGATATTGGGAGTAATATAATCCTCTTCCCCCTGGATATTATGAACAATATCACAAGGAAGTGTACACATTCTAGGATATTAGGAGTAATATCGAACTCTCCTTTCCTGGATATTACAAACAGTATCACAGGGGGGTGTACACCCCCTGCGATATTGGAAGTAACATCATCTTTTCCCCAATGATATTACAAACAATACCACAGGTGGGCGCACACTTCCTGAGATATTGGGAGTAATATCATCCTTTCCCCTCCGGGATGTTGGGAGTAATATTCTCTCTCCGCCTGGATATTCCGAACAATATCACAGGAAGGTGTACACCTTCTGCGATATTGGGAGTACTATCATTCTCTCTCCACTGGATATTCCGAACAATATCACAGGGGGTTCTATATCCCCTGGGATATTTGGATAATATCATTCTCTCCCCTTCTGAATATTCTGAACAATATCACAAAGTGGTGTACACCTCATGCGATATTGGGAGTCATATCATTCTCTACACCCCTGGATATTCTGATCAATATCACAAAGGGGTGTACACCCCCTGCGATATTGAGAGTAATAGTATCCTCTCCCTTCCGGGTTATTAAGAACAATATCACAGGGGGGTGTACACCCCTGCGATATTGGGAGTAATATTACAAACGATATCACAGGGGAATGGACAACCCCTGTGATATTTGAAGTAATATCCTCTCCTTACCTGGACATTACTAGCAACATCAGAGGGGGTTATAACCCCCCTGCAATATTTAAAGTAATACCATCCTCGTTTCCCCTGGATATTATGAACAATATCACACAAGAGTGTACCCACCCTGTGATAGTGAAAGTAATATAATCCTCTCCCACCCTGGTTATTATGAACAGTATCACAGGGGGTGTATGCTCCCTGTGATACTGGAAATAATATCATCCTCTCGTCCCCTGGATATTACAAACAATATCACATTGGGGTGTACACCCCCCATGATATTGAGAGTAATATCATTCCCCCCCCCGGATATTACAAACGATGTCACAGTGGGTGTACACACAGGGTGTTTACGATATTAAGAGTAATATCATCTCCTCTGATTGATATTATGAAGAATATCACAGGGGTTGTTCACCCCCTACGATATTGACAGTAATGTCATCTTCTCCCCCCTAGATATTACTAACAATATAACAGGGAGGTGTATGATCCTGTGATATTGGCAGTCATGTCATCCTCTCCCCCCATGAACATTATGAACAAAATCACAGAGGGGTGTACATCCCCTGAGATATTGGGAATAACGTCATCCTCTTCCCCCTGTATATTAAGAACAATATGACAGGGTGTGTGCATTCTCTGCGATATTGGCAGTAATATCATCCTCTCCCCCACTGGATATTACAAACAATATCACAGGAGGGTGTACCCCCTCTGCGATATTGGGAGTAATGTCATCCTATCCACGCTCCCCCTGGATACTATGAACGATATCACAGGGGGGTGTACTTTCCTGCACTATTGGGAGTAATTTCATCTTTTTTTCCCTTGGATATGACACACAGTATCACAGGGAAGTGTACGCCCCCAGCGATATTGGAAGTAATGTCATCATTTCCCTCCCTGGATATTGCGAACAATATCACAGGGGTGCCCCTGTGATATTGGGAGTAATGTAATTCTCTCCCCCTCGAATATTACAAACCCAATATCATAGGGTTGTACACCCCCCTGCGATATTGGGAGTAATATTATCTTCTCCCCATCTTAATGTTACGAACATTATAACAGGGGGGTATACACTCCCTGCGATATTGGGGGTAATATCATCCTCTTTCGCCTTGAATGTTACAAACAATATCACAGGGGAGTGTACAACCCTACGATATTGGGTATAACATTATCCTCACCTTTTCTGGAAATTACGAACAATATCACTGGGGGGTGAACACTCCCTGTGATATTGGGAGTAACATAATCCTGTCTTCCTCTGGATATTATTAACAATATCACAGGGGAGTGTACACGCCCTGCTATATTGGGAGTAACGTTATCCTCTTCCCTCCGGATATTCCAAACAACGTCAGAGGGTAGTGTACAACCCCTGCGATATTGAAAGTAATATCTTCTTCCCTCCTGGATATTGTTAACAATATCACAAAGGAGTGTACACCCCCTGTGATATCAGAAGTAATACCAACCTCTCCCTGCCTGGATATTCTGAACAATATCACAGGGAGGTGTACACCCCCTGTGATATTGGGAGTATTATCATCCTCTCCCCTCTGGATATTCGGAAATATATCACAGGTGGTTGTACACCTCCTGCGATATTGAAAGTAATATGATCCTCTCCATCCTGAATATTCCAAACAATATCACAGGCGGATGTACACTTCCTGCGATATTGACAGTAATATAATCCTCTCTTCCTCTGAATATTCTGAACAATATCACAAAGAGGTGTACATCCCCTATGATATTGAAAGTAATATCACCCTCTCCCCCCTGTATATTTTGAACAATATCACAGGTGTTTTACATCCAATGCTATATTGGAAGTAACATTATCTCCCCCCCTGGATATTTCGAGCAATAAGACAGAGGAGTGTAAACCCACTGCAATACTGGAAGTAATATTATCCTCTCCACCCTGGATATTATTAACAATATCACAATGGGGTATATACCCCCTGTGATATTGAGAGTAATATCATCCTCTACCCTTCTGAATATTCTGAACAATATCACAAAGAGGTGTATACCCCGGTGATATCGGGAGTAATATCGTCATCTCCCCTGGTTATTTTGAACAATATCACAGAGGGTTGTACAGCTCCTGTGATATTTGGAGTAATATTATCCTCTCCCCACCTGGTATTCCAAGCAATATCACAGCTTCTGCGATATTAAGAATAATATCATCCTCTTCCCCCTTGATATTCCAAACAATATACCATGGGGACGTAGAACCCTGCAATATTTGGAGTCATATTATTCTCTCCCCACTTAAATATTCTGAACAATATTACAGGGAGTTGTACACCCTCTGCGGTATTAGGAGTAATATCTTTTTTTCCTCCCTGGATATCCTGAACAATATCAATGGGAGGTGTACAACCCCTGCGATATTTGGAGTAATATCATCCTCTCCCCCTTGATATTCCCAACAATGACACATGAGGGTGTACATCCCCTGCGATATTGGGGGTAATATCATCCTCTCCTCTCCTGGATATTCTGAACAATATCACGGGGGGTTGTACATTCCCTGCAATATTGGGGGTAACATCATCCTCTCCTTCTTTAAATATTCTGAACAATATCACAAAGGGATGTACACCCCCTGTGATATTTGGAGAAATAGCATCCTGTCTCTCTCCTGGATATTGAGAACAATATTACAGGGCATTTTACATCTCCTGTGATATTGGGAGTAATATAATCCTCTCCCCTCCTTGATATTACCAAATATATCACAGTGGGGAATACACCCCATGTGATATTGGGAGTAATATCATCCTCTCCCTTTTTGGATATTGTGAAAAATATCACAAGGGGGTGTACACATACTGCAATATTGCAAATAATATCATAGTCTTCCCTCCTGGATATTATGAACAACATCACAGGGGATGTACACTCCCTGCGATATTGGAAGTAATATCAAACTGTCCTTAGCTGAACATTATGAACAATACCACTGAGGGTGTACACACAGGGTGTTTATGATATTGTTAGTAATATCATCTCCCCTTCTGGATTTCATGATCAGTATCACAGAAAGGAGTTCAACCCCTGCAATATTAGGAGTAATATTATCCTCTCCTCCCCTGGATATTATGAACAGTATTTCATAAAAGTGTATACCCCCTGAATTATTGGGTGTATTATCATCCTCTACCCCCTTGGATATTATGAACAGTTTAACAGGCGGGTGTACACACCAGGTGATATTGGGAGTAATATCCTCTCATCCCAGGATATTACAAACATTATCACAGGGAGGTGGACATCCTCTGTTATGTTGAGAATAATATCATCCTCTCCCCCCATGGAAATTACAAACAATATCACAGAGGGTGTACACATAGGGTGTTTATAATATTGGGAGTAATATCATCTCTCCACTTGGATATTATGAACAATATAACACGGGGATGTACACCCCCTGCGATATTGGGAGTAATATCATCCTCTTCCCCCCTGGATATTACAAACAATATCACAGATGGATTTACACCCGTTGCAAGATTGGGAGTAATATAATCTTCTCCCCTCCTGGATATTATGAACAATATCACAGGAGAGTGTACACCCCCTGCGATATTGGGAGTAATATTATCCTCTCACTTTTAAATATTACAAACAATATGACAGGGGAATGTACACGCCCTGCAATGATGGGATTAATATCATCTTCTCCTGCCTGGAGATTACGAACATTATATCACAGGCAGGTGTACACACCCTGAGATATTGGGAGTAATATCATCCTCTCCTTCCTGGATATTACGAGCAATATCACGGAGGTTGTACAGACAGACAGGGTGTTTACAATGTAGAGGGAAATACAATCTTCCCCCCTGAATAATAAGAACAATATCCCCGCAATATGGGGGAGTAATGTCACCCTCTCTCCCCCGAATATTATGAACCATATCACAGAGGGGTGTACGCACCCCATGATATGGGGAGTAATATACCCTCCCCGCTAGATATTACAAACCATATCACAAGGGGGTGTAAACCACCCGCAATATGGGGAGTAGTATCACACTCACCCCACCGTTGATATTACGAACCATATTACAGAGTGTGTACACCCCTTGCTATAAAGGGAGTAATATAACCCTCTCCACTCCTTAGATATTAGAAATTATATCACACCCCTTGCGATATGTGGAGTAATATCACCCTCTCCCCCCGGATATTATGGACCATATCACAGTGGGGTGGACACCGCTGCGATGTGGGAAATAATATTATGCTCTCCCACTGACTCGGATATTACAAACCGTATCACAGCGGGCCATACACCCCCTGCGATATTGGGAGTAAAATCATCCTCTCCCGCCCTGTATATTAGGAACAATATCACAGGAGGGGTGTACATTCTTTGAGATATTGGTAGGAAGTAAAATCATTCTCTCTTCAGTTGGATATTAAAAACAATATCACAGGTGAGGTGTACACCTCCTGTGATAATGGAAGTAATATCATCCTTCCCCCCTCCCCAGATGTTAGGAACAATATCATATTGTGGGTATACACTCTATTGACAGTAATATCATCATCATCCCCATGGATAATAGAAACAATATCACAAGCGAAGTGTACAATGCCTACGATATTGGGAGTAGTATCATCCTCTCCCCCACTGGAATTAGAAACAGTATCATGGGAGAGGGGTGTACACCTTCTGTGATATTGGGAGTAATAACGTCCTCTTTTCCCCTCGCTATTAGGGGCAATATCACAGGGAGAGTGTACACCCCCTGCGATACAGGGAGTAATATCATCTTCTCACCTCCTTATATTAGGAACTATATCACAGGGTGGGGGGTGTACAATTTTTAGGATCTTGATCGTAATACCCTTGTCTGTCCCCCTGGATAACAGGAACAATATCACAAGTGGGGTGTACAACCCCTACGATATTGGGGGTAATATCATCCTCTCCCCCTCGGATATTAGTGAATATATCACAGTGGGGGATGTACACGACCTGTGATATTGAGAGTAATATCATTTTCTCCCCCCCGCCCCCGGGTATTAAGAACAATATTACAAGGTGTTTGTATGCCCTCTGCGATATTGGAAGTAACAGCATTCTTTCCCTCCCTGGATATTAGGAACAATATCACAGGGGTTGTGTACAACACTTGCGATATTGAGAGTAATATCATCCTCTTTCCCCTTGGATATTAGAAACAATACCACTGGGGTGGTGTACACCACCTGCGTAATTAGGAGTAATGTTATTTTGTCCCCATCTGGATATTAGGAACAGTATCACAAGAGAGGGGTACAGCCCCTGTGATATTTGGAGTAATTTTATTATCTCCCCCCACTGGATGTTAGGAACAATATCACAGGTGTGGTGTACACACCCTTCGATATAGGGAGTAATATTATTCTCTTTCACATTGATATTAAAACAATATAGTAGGGGTGTGTACACCCTCTGTGATATTGGGAGTAATATTATCCTGTCTTCCCATGGATATTAAGAACAATATCACAGGGGGGTGTACAGCTTTTGCAGTATTGAAAGTAATATCATCCTCTTTCCCCTGGATATTAGGAAGAATGTCACAGGAGGAATGTACACCTTTTGCAATATTGGGAGTAATGTCATCCTTTCCCCTCCTTGATTTCAGGAACAATATCACACGGCTGGTGTACACCTTCTGCGATATTGAAAGTAATATTATCCTCTCTTCCCTTGGATATTACGAACAATATTAGAGGGAAGGGGTTACACTTTCTGCACTATTTGGAGAAATATCATCTCCCTGCCCTGGATATTAGGAACAAAGTTACAAGGGAGGTGTTCACCCCCTGCGATATTGGGAGTCATATCACCCACTGTCCCACTGGATATTGAAAACAATATCACAGGAAGTGTGTACACACCCTGCGATATTGAAAGTAATACCATTCTTTTCCTCCCTGGACTTTAGGAAATATATCACAGGGTGGGTGTACACTTCCTGTGACATTGGAATAATATGAGCCTCTTATCCTTTGTATATTAGAAACAGTATCACAGCAGTGGTGTACACTCCCTGAGATATTGGAAGTACTGTCATCCTCTCCCTCGCAGGATATTAGAAACCATATCACAGGAATGTGTACACCCCCTGCAATATTGGGAGTAATATTATCCTCTCATTCCGTGGATGGTAAAAACAATATATCAGGGGGGATGTACAGCCCCTGCGATATTGGGAGTAATATCATGCTCTCCACCTCTGGATATTAGGAACAATGTCACATGAAGTTGTACACCCACTGCGATATAGGGAGTATTATCTTCTCCACACCTGGATATCAGAAACAATGTCACAGAAATGGTGTACATCCTCTGTGATTTTGGGAGTAATATCCACCCCTCCCCCAGATATTAGGAACAATATAACAGGGGGGTGTGTACACCACCCTCGATACTGGGAGTACTATCATGCTTTTCTTCCCCTGGATATTAGAAACACCCCCTGCGATATTGTGTACACCCCCTGCGATACAGAGAGTCATATCATCCTCTCCTTCCCTGGATAGTAGGAACAATATAACAGCTATGGTGTACACCCGTGCGATATTAGGAATGATATCATCCTCTTCCCACATGGATATTAGGAACAATATTAGAAGGGAACGGTTACACCCACGGTGATTTCGGGAGTAATGTCACCCTCTCCACCCCAGATATTATGAACCGTATCACAGGGGAGTGAACAACTCCCTCGATGTGAGGAGTAATATCACCCTCTCCCCCCCTGGATATTACAAACCATATCACAGAAGGGTGTATGCCCCCTGCAATATGGGGAGTAATATCACCCTATACCCCCATAGATATTATGAACCATATCACAGGGAGGGTGTACACCCCCCCAATGTAGGGAGTAATATCATCCTCTTCCCTCCTGGATATTACGAACCGTATCACAGGTGTTTGTACAACCCCTGCAGTATGGGGAGTAATATCACCCTCTCCATCCCTGAATATTATGAACCATATCACAGGGGGTGTACATCCCCTGCAATATGGGGAATAATATCACCCTCTCCCCACTGGATATTAACCATATCGCAGGGGGTTGCACATCCCCTGTGATATGTGGAGTAATATCACCTTCTCCCTTCCTGGATATTAAGAACCATATCACAGGGGGTGTACACTCCAGGTATTTACAATATTGAAAGTAATATATTGTGCCCTCTGGGTATTAGAAACAACATCACCCTGGCTGGGGGCATACAGCCACTATGATAATGGGCGTAATTTCATTCTCCCTCTTCTCCTTGATATAGGAAAAATATCACAGTGGGGTGTACACCCCCTGCAATGTTGAGATTAATGTCATCCTCTCTTCCCCTGCGTATTAGAAACAATATCACAAGGGGGTGTGTACATTCCCTGATATATTGGGAGTAATATCATCCACTTTTCTTCTGGATATTAGGAGCAATATCACAGAAGGGGTGGACACCCACTGTGATATTGGGAGTTATATTATCTTCTGCTCCCTAAATGTTAAGAACAATATTACAAGCGGGTTGTACACCCTTTGGGGTATTTGGAATAATATCAAACTTTCCTCTCCTGGATATTGGAAAGAATATCACAGGGTGGTGTGTACAAATCCGGCAAAATTTTAAGTAATATCATCCTCTCTCCGCCTGAACATTAAAAACAATATCACAGGAAGGTTGTACAGCCCCTGCGATATTGGGAGTAATATAATCCTCTTTCCACCTGGGTATTAGGAACAATATCACAGCGGGGGTGTACAGTTCCTGTGATATTGGGAGTAATATCATCCTCCCCATCGGATATTAGGAAGTATAGTAAACTTGAGGTGTACAGTCCCTGCGATATTGGGAGTAATATTCTCTTCCCACCTAGATATTAGGAACAATATCGCAGAGGAGGTGTAAACTTTCTGAGATATTGGGAGTAATATCATCCTCTCCTCCTCTGGATATTAGAAAATATATCACTGGGGGGTGTACACATTCACAATATTGGGAGTATATCCACCCCCGATTTGGGAGTAATATCCTCTTTCCCCCTGAATATTAGGAACAATATCACAACAGGGTTGTATACGCTGTATGATATTGAGATTAATACCATCCTCTCCTTTACTGAATACTAGGAACAATAGCAAAGGGGAGGTATACACTCCCTGCAATATTGGGAGTAATATCATCCTCTCCCCCCTCTGGATATTAGGAACAATATCATAGGGGGGATGTACACCCCTTGCCATATTGGGAGTAATATTATTCCCCCCATAGGTATTAGGAACGATATCACATAATGGGTTTCCAGCCTTTGCAATATTTGTAGTAATTTTAATATATCCCCACCTGGATATGAGAAACAATATCATGGGTGGGTGTACACATCCTTTGATTTTGGGAGTAATATAACTCTCTTTCCCCTCGAAATTAGGAACAGTATCAGAGGGAATGTGTACACTTCCTGCAATATTGGGAGTAATATCATCCTCTACCCCCGTGGTATTAGGAACAATATCACAAAGGGGATGTACACCCTCTGCGATATTGGGAGTAATATCATCCTCTTTCCCCTGGATGTACCAAACAATATCACAGGGGGGTGCACACCACCTTCGATATTGGTAGTAATATTATCCTGTCCCTCCCTGGATACTAGGAACAATATCAAAGAAGAGGTGTTCACACCCTGCAATATTGAGAGCAATTTCATCTTCTTTCCTTCTGGTTATTAGGAAGAATATCACGGGGGATGTACACCCCCTGCGCTATTGGGAGTAAAATCATCCTCTCTCGCCCTGTATATTAGGAACAATATCACAGGATGGGTGTACATTCTTTGTGATATTTGGAGTAATATCATCCTCTCTTCCCTGGAGTATTAAAAACAATATCACAGATGAGGTGTACACCCCCTGCGATATAGGAAGTAATATCATCCTCTCCACCCCTGGATATTAGGAACAATATCATATTGTGGGTATACACTCTTTAGGATATTGATGGTAATATCGTCACCCCCATGGATATTAGAAACAATATCACAAGCGAAGTGTACAACGCCTACTATATTGGGAGTAATATCATCCTCTCCCCCACTGGAATTAGAAACAATATCATGGGGGAGGGGTGTACACCTTCTGCGATATTGGGAGTAATAACGTCCTCTTTCCGCCTTGATGTTAGGGACCATATCACAGGGAGAGTGTACACCCCCTGTGATATAGGGAGTAATATAATTCTCTCACCCCCTTATATTAGGAACTATATCACAGGATTGGGGGGTGTACACTTTTGGGGATATTGTTCATAATACCCTCGTCTGTCCCCCTGGATAATAGGAAAAAAATCACAAGGGTGGTGAACAACCGCCACGATATTGGGAGTAATATCATCCTCTCCCTACCAGATGTTAGTAAATATATCACAGGGGGGGATGTACACGACCTGTGATATTGGGAGTAATATAATTTTCTCCCCACCCGGATATTAAGAACAATAACACAAGGAGGTTGTACACCCTTGGCGATACCGGGAGTAATAGCATCCTTTCCCTCCCTGGATATTGGGAACAATATCACAGGAATTGTGTACACCACCTGCGATATTGGGAGTAACAGCATCCTCTCTCCCCCTGATATTAGAAACGATATCACGGGGTGGTGTACACCACGTGTGTAATTAGGAGTAATGTTATTTTCTCCTGCCCTGGATACTAGGTACAATATCACAGGAGACGTGTACAGCCCCTGTGATATTTGGAGTAATTTTATCATCTTCCCCCTGGATATTAGGAACAATATTACAGGGGTGGTGTACACACCTTTCGATATAGGGAGTAATGTCATTCTATTTCCTCTTGATACTAAACACAATATCACAGGGGGGTGTATGCCCCCCTGTGATATTGGGAGCAATATCATCCTCTCTTCCCATGGATATTAAGAACAATATCACAGGGGTGGTGTATGCCTTTTGCGGTATTGGGAGTAATATCATCCTCTTTCCCCTGGATTTAGGAACAATATCATAGAAGGAGTGTACACCTTTTGCGATATTGAAAGTAATGTCATTTTCTCCCCTCCTTGATTTTAGGAACAATATCACAGGGCTGGTGTACACCCTCTGTGATATTGAGAGTAATATCATTCTCTCTTCCCCTGGATATGACGAACAATGTAAGAGGGAGGGTTTTTACATTTTCTGCAATATTTGGAGTAATATTTTCTCCCTGCCCTGGATATTAGGAACAATATTACAAGGGGGGTGTACAGCCCCTGCGATACTGAAAGTCATATCACTCTCTCTCCCTGGACATTGAGAATAATATCACAGGGAATGTGAAAGTAATATCACATTACTGGGATATTGAAAGTAATATCATTCTTTTCCTCCCTGGACTTTAGGATATATATCACAGCGTGGGTGTACACTTCCTGTGATATTGAAATAATATAAGCCTCTAAACCTTTGGATATTAGAAACAAAATAACAGCAGGGGTGTACACCTCTGAGATATTGGAAGTACTATCATTCTCTCACCCACAGGATATTAGAAACCTTATCACAGGGGTGTGTACACCCCCTGCAATATTGGAAGTAGTATTATCCTCTTGTTCCCCACCTGGATATTAAGAACAATATCACAATTGTTAGAAATATCACAATATTAGAAATAAAATAGCAGGAGGGATGTACAGACACTGCGGTATTGGGAGTAATATCATGCTCTTCACTTCTGGATATTAGGAACAATATCACATGGGGGTGTACACCCATTGCAATAGTGGGAGTATTATCATCTCCTCCTCTCCTGAATATTAGGAACAATATCACAGGAATGGTGTACATCCCCTGTGATTTTTGGGAGAAATATCCTCCTCCCCAGATATTAAAAACAATATAACGGGGGGTAGGTGTCCACTCTTCTCAATATTGGGAGTGATATCATTCTTATCATTCTTTTCTTTTCCTGGATATTAGAAACAATATCACACAGGGTTGTACACACCCTGTGATATAGGGAGTCATATCATCCTCTGTTTTCCTGGATATTAGGAACTATATCACAGTGGTGGTGTACATTTGTGTGATATTGGGAATAATTTCATCCTCACCGCCCCCCCCGGATATTAGGAACAATATCACAAGCGGACGGTGATACACCCCTCGCGATATTGGGAGTAATATCACTCTCTCCACCCCTGGATATTATGAACCATATCACACCCCTTGCAATATGGGGAGTAATATCACCCTCTCCCCCTGGATATTACGAATCATATCACAAGAAGGTGTACACCCCTCATGATATAGGGATTAATACTACTCTCCCCACCCTGGATATTATAAACCACATCACAGGGGGGTGTACACCCCTCTGCGATATGGGGAGTAATATCACCCTCTTTTCCCATGGACATTATGAACCATATCACGGGGGGTGTACACACCGTGATATGGGGAGTAATATCACCTTCTCCATCCCTGGATATTACGAACAATATCACAGGGGTATTCCCCCCTCCCGTGATATGGGGAGTAATATCACCCTCTCACCCCCTGGATATTAAGAACCATATCACAGGCGGTGTACACTCAAGGTGTTTATGATATTGGAAGTAATGTATTCGGCCTTTTGGATATTAGAAACAACATCACCCCGGGGTGGGGGTGTACAACTACTACAATATTGGGTGTAATTTCATCCTACTCCTTCCCCTTGACATAGAAGAAATATCACAGGCCAGGTGTACACCCCTTGCGATTTTGCGACTAATGTCATCCTCTCTTCCCCTGCATATTAGGAACAATATCACAAGGAAATGTGTACATTCCCTGAGATGTTGGTAGTAATATCTTCTGCTTCTCTTCCGGATATTAGGAACAATATCACAAAAGGGGTGGACAGCCACTGTGATATTAGGAGTTTTATTATCTTCTGCTCCCTAAATGTTAAGAACAATATACATCCTTTGCGATATTTGGAGTAATATCAAACTCTCCTGTCCTGGATATTAGGAAGAATATCACAGGATGGTGTGTACAAATCCAGTGATATTGTAAGTAATATCATCCTCTCTCCACCTGAGCATTAAAAACAATATCACAGGAAGGTTGTACAGCCCCTGCGATATTGGGAGTAATATAATCCTCTTTCCACCTGGATATTAGGAAGAAAATCACGGGGGGAAGCGTGTGCAGCTCATGCGATATTGGGAGTAATATCATCCTCTCCCCCCTGGATATTAGAAAGTATATTACACTTGGGGTGTACACCACCTACGATATTGGGAGTAATATTCTCTTCCCACCTAAATATTAGAAACAATATCACAGAGGCATGTAAACTCCCTGCGATATTGGGAGTAATATCATCCTCTCCTCCTCTGGATATTAAGAAGTGTATCACCAGGGGGTGTACACATCCACGATATTGGGAGTAACATCATCCTCTTTCCCCCTGGATATTAGGAACAATATCATGAGAGGGTTGTACACCCTTTACGATATTGAGAGTAATACCATCCTCTCCTCTACTGAATATTAGGAACAATATCAAAGGGGGGGTGTACACTTCCTGTGATATTTGGAGTAATATCATCCTCTCTTCCCTCTGGATAGTAGGAACAATAACACAGGGAGGATGTACACCCCTTGCGATATTGGGAGCAATATTATTTCCACCCTCTAAATATTAGGAACAATATCACAGAATGGGTTTCCAGCCCCTGCAGTATTTGGAGTAATTTAACATATCCCCACCTGCATATTAAGAACAATATCACGGAGGGGTGTACACATCCTTCGATATTGGGAATAATATGATTCTGTTTCCCCTGGATATTAGGAACAATATCACAGGGAATGTGTATACCTCCTGCAAAATTGGGAGTAATATTATCCTCTCACCCTGAGGTACTAGGAAAAATATGACAAAGGGGGTGTACACCTTCTGCGATATTGGGAGTACTATCCTCTTTCCCCTGGATGTACAGAACAATATCACAGGGAGGGTGTACACCCCTTTCGATATTGGTAGTAATGTCATCCTCTCCCTCCTTGCATACTAGGAACAATATCACAGAAGGGTGTACACACTCTACGATACGGGGAGTAATGTCATCCTCTTTTCTTCTGGATATTAGGAAGTATATCACAGGGTGCTTTACACCCCCTGTGATATTGGGAGTATAATCATCCTCTCCCGCCCTGTATATTAGAAACAATATCAAAGGAGAAGTATACATTCTTTGCATTACTAGGAGTAATATTCTCTCTTCCCTTGGTTATTAAAAACAATATCACAGGTTGGGTGTACACCCCCTGCAATATAGGAAGTAATATCCTCTCCACTCATGGATATTAGGAACAATATCATATTGTGGGTGTACACTGTTTAGGATATTGACAGTAATATCATTGTCACCCCCATGGATATTAGAAACAATATCATAAGCGAAGTGTACAACCCCTACGATATTGGGAGTAGTATCATACTCTCCCCCACTGGAATTAGAAACAATATCACAGGGGAGGGGTGTACACCTTCTGCAATATTGGGAGTTATAACATCCTCTTTCCCCCTCAATATTAGGGACAATATCACAGGGAGAGTGTACATCCCCTGCGATATAGGGAGTAATATAATTCTCTCACCCCCTTATATTAGGAACTATATCATAGGGTGGGGGGTATACACTTTTGGGGACATTGTTTGTAATACCCTCGACTGTCCCCCTGGATAAAAGGAACAATATCACAAGGGGAGTGAACAACCCCTGCGATATTGGAAGTAATAGCAACCTCTCCCACTTGGATATTAGTAAATATATCACGGTGGGGGGGATTTACACGACCTGTGATATTGGGAGTAATATCATTTTCTCCCCCCCCCGGATATTAAGAAAAATATCACAAGGGAGTTGTACACCCTCTGTGATATTGGAAGTAATAGCCTCCTCTCCCTCCATGGATATTAGGAACAATATCCCAGGGGTGGTGTACACCACCTACGATATTGGGAGTAATGTCATTTTCATTCCACCTGGATATTAGAAACAGTATCACTGGGGTGGTTTACACCACCTGTGTAATTAGGAGTAATGTTATTTTCTATGCCTCTGGATATTAGGAACAATATCACAGGAGAGGTGTACAGCCCCTGTGATATTTGGTGTAATTTTATCGTCTCCCCCCTGGATATTAGAAACAATATCACAGGGGTGGTGTACACACCCTGCGATATAGAAAGTAAAATC
This sequence comes from Homo sapiens, assembly GCF_000001405.40. Classification (NCBI taxonomy): domain Eukaryota; kingdom Metazoa; phylum Chordata; class Mammalia; order Primates; family Hominidae; genus Homo; species Homo sapiens. The sequence continues at coordinate 99,216,166 of NC_000005.10, forward strand.
ATTCTCTTTCTCCTTGATATTAAAAACAGTATCATGGGGGAGTGTACGCCCTCTGTAATATTGGGAGTAATATTATCCTCTTTCCCCTGGATATTAGGAACAATGTCACAGAAGGAGTGCACACCTTTTGCAACATTGGGAACAACGTCATCCTCTCCCGTTCTTGATTTTAGGAACAATATCACAGGGCTGATGTACACCCCCTGCGATATTGAGAGTAATTCATTTTCTCTTCTCCTGGATGTTATGAACAGTATAAGAGGGAGGGTTTACATTTTCTGCAATATTTGGAGTAATATCATCTTCCTGCCCTAGATATTAGGAACAATGTTACAAGGTCGGTGTACACCCTCTGCGGTATTGGGAGTCACATCATCCTTTCGCCCCCTGGATATTGAGAACATCACAGGGAGTGTGTACACCCCCTGTGATATTGAATATAATATCATTCTTTTCCTCCCTGGACTTTAGGACATATATCACAGGGTGAGTGTATACTTCCTGCGATATTAGAATAATATAAACCTCTAACCCTTTGGATATTAGAAACAATATCACAGCAGGGGCGTACTCCCCCTGAGATATTGGAAGTACTGTCATCCTCTCCCCCACAGGATATTAGAAACCATATCACAGGGGGTGTGTACACCGCCTGCAACATTGGGAGTAATATCCTCTCATTTGATGGATATTAGAAACAATATAATAAGGGAGATGTAGAGCCCCTGCAATATTGGGAGTAATATGCTCTCCACTTCTGGATATTAGGAAGAATATCACATGGGGGTGTACACCCACTGTGATATTGGGAGTATTATTATCTCCTCCTCCCCTGGGTATTAAGAACGATATCATAGGAATAGTGTACATCTCCTGTCATTTTGGAAGTAATATCCTCCCCCCTCAGAATATTAGAAACAATATCACAGAGGTGGTGTACAACCCCCTTGATATTGAGAGTAATATCATTATTTTCCTCTCCTAGATGTTGAAAATAATATCACAGAGTGGTGTACACCACCTGCGATATAGGGAGTCATATCATCCTGTACTTTCCTGGATATTAGGAACTATTTCACAGCGGTGGTGTACATCTGTGAGATATTAGGGGAAATATCATCCTCTACCAACCTGGATATTAGGAACAATGTCACAATGGGGTGGTTACACCCCCCGCGATATTAGGAGTAATATTACCCTCTCCACTTCTGGATATTTAGAACCATATCACAGTGGGGCATAGAATCCCCATGATATGAGTAATGTTACCTTTTCCCCCGTGGATATTACAAACAATAACACACTCCTTGAGATACGGGAAGCAATATCACCCTCTCTCCCCCTGGATATTATGAACCATATCACAAGGGGGTGTACACCCCCACGATATAAGGAGTAATATCACCCTCTGCCCCCTGGATATTACGAACCACATCACAGGGGGGTGTACACCCCCCACGATAAGGGGATTAATATCACCCTCTTCCCTCCTGAATATTACAAACCATATTATGGGGTGTGTACACCCCCCATGACATGGGGATTAATATCACCCTCTCCCTCCCTGGATATTATGAAACAAATCACAGGAGTGGTTCACATCCCGCGATATGGAAAAGAGTACTACCCTCTCCCTCCCTGGATATTACAAACCATATCATGGGGGGTTGTACACCCCCCATGATATGGGAAGTAATATCACCCTCTCCCCCCTGGATATTATGAACCATATCACATGGGGGTGTACACACAATGTATTCACTTTATTGGCAGTGGTATTATCTCCCTTGTTGGGTATTACAAACAATATCACAAGGGGGTGTACACCTCTTGCAATATTGGGAGTAATATCCTCTCCCTTTCTGTATAATAAAAACATTGTTAGAGGTGGCGTGTACATCTTCTACGATATTGGGAGTAATAACACACTGTCCACCTTATAATATTAGGAACAATATGACACGGTGTGTGTACAATCCCCAAGATTTTAGGAGTAATATGCTCTTTTCCCCTGGATATTAGAAATAATGTCACATGGGGGGTGTACATCTCTTGTAATATTGCTTGTAATATCATCCTGTCCCTAACTGGATATTAGAAACAATATCACAGGGGAGGTGTTCATTCCCTGTGATATTGGGAGTAATATCATACTTTTGCCCTTTTGATATTAGTAACAATATCACAGAGGGGGTGTACACCCCCTGCGATTTTGGGAGTAATATTATCCTCTCTTCACTGGATATTAGGAACAATATCACAGGGGAAATGTACACTTCCTGCGATATTGGGAATAACATCATCCTCTCCACCCCGGGTATTAGGAACAATATCACAGGATGGGTATACACCCACTGCGATACTGAGACTAACATCAACCTCTCCACTTCTGGATATTAGGAACAATATCACACGGGGAGTGTACACACCCTACGATATTGGGAGTAATATCATCCTCTCCCTCCCTGGATACAAAAAACAATATCAGAGTTAGGGTTTACACACCTTGCAATATTGAAAGTAATGTCGCCCTCTCTTCCCCTGGATATTAGGAATGGTATCACAGGTGAGTTGTACACTCTCTGAAATATTGACAGTAATATCATCCTCTCCTCACCTGGATATTAGAAACAATATCACAGGATGAGTGTACACGCCCTGAGATATTCGGAGCACTATCCTCGTTTTCCCCCATGGATATTAGCAACAATATCACAGGGGGAGTGTACACCCCTTGCAATATTGGGAGTAAATCATTTTCTCCCTCCTCCCGAATATGAGGAACAATATTACAGAGAAATTGTACACTCCCAGCGATATTGGAAGTAATATATCCTTCTCTCTCTCTGGATATTAGGAGTAATATCACAGGGAGGATGTACCCCAGCTGCGATATTGGGAGCAATATTATCCTCTTTCCTCCTGGATGTTATGAACAATATCACATGGCATGTGTACACACCCTATGATATTGGGAGTAATATCAGCCTCTCCTTTTTTTGGATATTAGGAACAATATCACTGGGGGGGTTACAACCCCTGTGATATTGGGAGTAATATTATCTTCTCCCCTCCTGGATGTTAGAAACAATATCACACGGGGGGTGTAAACCCCTTGCCATTTTGGGAGTAATATCCTCCCATTTTGGGAGCCTCTCCCTGTTTGGATATAAGGAAAAATATCACAGGCGGGGTGTGGAACCCCTGCAATAGTGCGAGTAATATCATGCTCTTTGTCCTTGGATATCAGTAACAATAACATGGGGTGGGGGGTGTACACCCCATGAGATATTGAAAGTAATGTCATCCTTTCCCCTTCTGGATATTAGAAACAATATCACACGGGGTATGTACACCGCCAGCAATATTGGGAGTAATATAATCCTCTCCCCTCCCTGGATACTAGGAACAATACCACAGTGAATGTGTATGCTTTGTGTGATATTGGAAGTAATATCATCCTTTCTCTCACTAAATATTAGGAATAATATCACGGGGGTGAGTGTACACCCTGTGCAATATTGGGAGAAATATCTTCTCACCCCCTGGATTTAGAAACAATATTATCTGGGGGTTGTACACCTGCTGCAGTATTGGGAGTAATATCACCCTCTCCCCACCTTGAAATTAGGAACTATATCACAATGGGGGTGTAAGTACCCTGTGATATTGGGAATAATATAATCCTCTCCCCCATGGATATTAGAAACAGTATCACAATAGGGGTGATACCCCCTGCAAGAATGAGAAGAATATCATCCTCTTCCCCCCCTGGAAATTAGGAATAATATCACAGTGGGAGTGAACACCCCCTGTGATACTCACAGTAATATCATCTTCTCACCCCCTGGATTTTGAAACAATATCACAGGGGTTTGTACAGCTGCTACGATATTGACAGTAATATCATCCTCTTCCCCTCTGGATGTTAGGAACAATATCACAAGGGAGGTGTACACCCCCAGCGATATTGGGAGTACTATCATCCTCTCTCACCATGAATATTAGAAAAAATATCACAGCGGGGGGGGGGTACATCCCCCGCACTACTGGGAGTAATATCATCCTCTCCCTGCCTCAATATTTGGAACAATATCATGGGAGGGGTATATAGCCTTTACGATATTGGGAGTAACATCATCCCCTCACCCCTGGATATTAGGAACAATATCATAGTGTGGGTGAATCTCCCCTGCGATATTAGGAGTAATATCATCCTCTCCTCCCCTTGGATATTAGGAATAATATTCCAGGGATGTTGTACACCCCCTGCGATATTTGGAGTTATATTACCTTCCCCCCTCTTGGATAGTTGAAACAGTATCACAGAGGGGTGTACACACACTGCGTTATGGTGGGTGATATTATCCTCTCCACTCCCTGCATATTAGGAACAATATCATAAGGGGGGTGTACACCCCCTGCAATATTAAAAGTAATATTATCTTCTCCCTGCCTAGATATTGAAAACAATATCACAGGGGGCGTGTACACCCTCTGAAGTATTGGGAGTAATGTCATCCTCTCCCTCCCTGGATATTAGGAACAATATCACAAGAAGAGTGGACACTTCCTGCGATATTGGGAAAAATATTGTCTCCTTCCTTGATATTAGGAACAATATCACAGGGGAGGTGTTCACCCCTGCGATATTGGGTGTAGTATCCTAATATCCCCACTGGATATTAAAAACAATATCAAAGAAAAGGTGTAGACCCCCAGCGATATTGGGAGTAATGTCATCCTCTTCTTCTCTGGATATTAGAAACAATTTCACAGGGAAGTTGTACACCCCCTGCTATATTGAGAGTAATGTCGTTCTCCCCTCCCCCACTGGTTATTAAGAACAATATCACATAGGAGGTGTACACCCCCTGTGATATTGGGAATTATATTATTCTCTCCCTCCTTAAATATAAGGAACAATATCACACAAGGGGTGTACACTTCCTGCAACATTGAGAGTAATATCATCCTCTTTCCCATGGATGTTAGGTACAGTATCACATAGGTAGTGTACAGCACTTGTGATATTGGGAGTAATATCATCCTCTTTCCCCTTGGAATTAGGAACAATATTACAGGGGAGGTGTACACCCACTGCAATATTGAATGTAATATCATCCTCTACCCGCGTGGATAGTAGAAATAATATATCAGAGAGTTATATGCCCCCTGTGATATTGGGAATAATATCAAACTCCCACCCCTTGATATTAGGAACAACCTCACAGGGGGGGTTGTGCACTTCCTGCAATATTGAGAATAATATCATCCTCTGCCTTCCTGGATATTACAAACAATATCACAAAAGGGGTGTGTACCCCTTGCGATATTGGGTGTAATATCATCCTCTCCCCCCCGTATATTATAAACCAGATCACAGAGGGGTGTACACATTCCACGATATGAGTGATATGGGGAGTAATGTCACCCCCACTTCTTCATATTACAAACCAGATAACAGCGGGGTGTACACTTTTTGCGATATGGGGGGTAATATCACCTACTCCCCCCCCCGGGTATTAGGAACAATATCACAGCGGGGGTGTACATCGCCTGCAATATTAGGAGTAATATCATCCTCTTCCCCACTGAATATTATTAACAATATCACAGGGGGTGTATATCCCCCTGTGATATTGCAAATATTATCATCCTCACCCTTCCTGAATATTAGGAACAATATCACAGAGGGCGTGTACACCCCCTGTGATATTGAAAGTAATATCATCCTCTCCCCCCAGGATATTGGGAATAATATATAGGGGGAGTGTACACCCCCTGAGATATTTGGAGTAATATCCTCTCTTATCCTGAATATTAACAACAGTATTATGGGGGGGTGTGTGTACACTCCTCGGGATATTGGGAATAATATTATTTTCTCCCCCCATGGATATTAGAAACAATGTCACAGGGGAGGTCTACACCCCCTGTGATATTAGGAGTAATATCATTCTCTCCCCCCTGGGATATTAGGAAGATTATCACAGAGGGTGTGTACACCCTCTGCGATTTTGGGAATAATATCATACTCTTCCCCCCTGGATATTAGGAACAATAACACAGGGGGGTGTACACCCTTTGTGACATTGGGAGTAATATCATCATCTTCTTCTCTAAATATTAGAAACAATATCACAGAGAGGGTATACACTTCCTGTGATATTGAGAGTAATATCCTCTCCCTTTTGGATATTAGGAACAATATCAAAGGGGAGGTGTACCCCCTAGAATATTGGGAGTGATATCTTTCTCTCCTCCCCTGGATATTAGGAACAATATCACAGCGTGGGTGTACACCCCCTGTAACATTGGCAGTAATATTCTTCTCTCCTTGCCTGGATATAAGAAACAATATCACAGGCGGGGTTTACACTGCCTGCAATATTGGGAGTAATATCTTCCTCTTTCCCCCTGTATAGTATAAACTATATCAAAGGGGGTGGTATACACCCTCTAAGATATTTGGAGTAATATTATCCTCTACAAATCGGGATATTAAAGACAATATTACGAGGGAGGTGTATACCCCTTGCGAAATTGGGAGTAATACTATCCTTTACCCCAACTGAATATTATGATCAATATCACGGGGGTGGCCTATATCCCTGCGATATTAGGAGTAATATAATTCTCTCCCCCCTGGATATTAGGAACAATATCACAGGAAAAGATCAATATTATCCTTTCCCCAGTTGGATATTAGGACCAATATCACAAAGGGGGTGTAGACCCCCTGCAATATTGGGAGTAATATCATCTTTTCCACCCTTCGATATTAAAAACAGTATCGCCGGGTGGGTGTACACCTTTTTTGATATTGAGAGTAATATCATCCTCTCCACTTCTGGATAATATAAACAATATTATGCAGGGCATGTACACCCCTAAGATATTTTGAGTCATATCATCCTCTCCCCGACTGAATATTGGAAACAATATCACAGAGGGGGTACAGTCCCTGCAATATTCGGGGTAATGTCATCCTGGACCCCCTGGATATTAGAAACAATATCATACCTGCGATATTAAATGTAACAAAATCCTTCCCCTCCCTGCTTATTAGGAACAACATCTCAGGCAGAGTGTACACCCCCTGCTATATTGGGAGTAATATCAGCCTCTCTCCCCTTGGATATTAGGAACAATGTCACAGGGGTGTGCACACCCCGTGCGATATTGGGGGTAATATTATCCTATCAGGTTCTGGATATTAGGAACAATATCACAGAGGGGGTGTACACTTTCAGCGATATTGGGAGTAATATCATCCTCTCCCTCCTTAAATATTAGGGAAAAAAATCACAGGGGGTTGTACATCTGCTGCAATATTGGGAGTAATATCATCCTCTGACCCTCTGGATATTAGAAACTATATCACTGGGGGAATGTACATTCTTTGCCATACTGGGAGAAATATCATTCTCTCCCCCCTTGAAAATTAAAAAATACATCACAGTAGAGGTGTACACCTCCTACGATATTGGGAGTAATATCCTGCACCCACCTGGATATTAGGGCCAATATCACAGTGGGGGATGTGCACCCTTGATGATATTGGGTGTGATATTATCCTCTTTACCCCTGGATACTGGGAACAATATCACAGGGTGGGTGCACACTCCATGTGATATTGGGAGTAATATTTTCTTCCCCCGTCAATATTAGGAACAACATCACAGGGTGGGTGTACACCCCCTGCAATAATAAAAGTAATATCATTCTCTCCCCCTGGGAGATTAGGAACAATATCACTGTGGTGGTGTACACTTCCTGTGAAACGGGGTGTAATATCATCTTTCCTCCCCCCGGATATTAGGAATAATATAACAAGGGAAGTGTACACCCCATATGATATTGGGAGAAATATCATTTTCTTTCCCTCAAGATATTAGGAGCAATATCAAAGAGGGGGTGTACACTCCCCGATATATTGGGAATAATATCTTCTCTTCTTCGAGATATTAGGAACAATATCACAGGGGAGGTGTCTACCCAGTGCGATATTGGGAGTAATATCATCTTCTCTCAAACTGGATATTATGGACAATATTACAGAAGGGGTGTAAACCCCCGTGATATTTTGAGTGATATCATTTTCTCCCCATCTGGATATTAAAAACAATGTCACAGTGGTTGTACACCCTCTGCAATATTGAAAGTAATATCATCCTCTCAGCCCTGAATATTAGAAAAATAGCACAGAGGGGTGCACAACCCCTGCGGTTTTGGGAGTGATATCATCCTCTCCGCCTTTGAATATTAAGAAAAATATTACAGAAGTGTGTACACCTCTTGTGATGCTGGGAGTAATGTCACCCTCTTCCACACTGGAAATTAAGAACAATATCATGGAAGGGGTGTACACAGCCTGAAATATTGAAAGTCATATTATCATCTCTCCTTCTAAATATTAAAACCATATTACAGGGGGATGTACACCCTCTGCGATATTGGGAGTAATATCATCCTCTTTCTCCCTGGACATTAGGAACCATACCACAGGAGGGGTGTACATCCCCTGAGATATGGGGAGTAATATCATCCTCTCATTCTGGAATATTAGGAATGATATCACATCGGGGGTGTACATTTCCTGTGATATTGGGAGTAATATCATCCTCTCCCTTCCTGGATATTAGAAACAATATCACGGAGGGGGGTACACCCCCTGCAATATTGAGGGTAATATCATCCTCTTTCTCCCTGAATATTAGGCAACACATCACACAGGGGTGTGAACACCCCCTGCAATATTGGGAGTAATATCATCCTATTTCCCCCTAAATATTAGGATCAATATCACAGGGGTGGTGTACACCCCCTGCAATATTAAGAAATACATTAGCCTCTTCCCGTTTGGATATTAGGAAAAATATCACGGGGGGGGGGGTGTAAGCTGTCTGCAATATTGGCTGTAATATCATCCTCGCCCCCCTGGATATTAGGAACAATATCACGGGATTGGTGTACACCTTCTTTGATACTGGGAGTAATATCATCTTGACCCGTTTGGATTAGGAACAATATCACAGCGGGGTGTGCACCTCCTGCGATTTTGGAAATGTTATCATCCTGCCCCCCCCCACCGGACATTAGAAACAATATCACAGAAAAGGTGTACAGCCCCTGCAATATTGGGAGTAATATCATCCTCTCCCTCATGGATATTCGGAACAATATCACAGGAGGGGTGTACACCCCCTGGCACATTGGAAATAATATTCTCTCCCTTCCTGGATATTAGAAACAATGTTACAGCTGGGTTGTACAGTCCCCGCGATATTGAGAGTAATTTCATCCTGTCTCCCCACTGGATATTAGGAACAATATCATGGGGGGGCTGTCCACTCCCTGCGATATTGGATGTAACAAAATCCTTTCCCCCTCTGCATATCAGGAACAATATCTCAGGGAGGTGTACACCCCCTATGATATTGGGAGTAATATCCTATTCACCTCTGTATATTAAAAACAATATCACAGAAAAAGGTGTACACCCCGCATTATTGGGAGTAATATCATCCTCTTGCATTCTGGATATTAGGGACAATATAGCAGAGGGTGTGTACATACTTAGCGATATTGGGAGTAACATCATCCTCTCCCTTTTTGGATATTAAAAAAAATTACAGGGGGATGTACACCTGCTGTGATATTGGAAGTTATATCATCCTTTGATTCCCTGGATATTAGGAACTATATTACTGGGAAGTGTACACACTCTGAGATATTGGGAGTAATACTATCCTCTCCCCCTTGGATATTAGGAATAATATCACAGCGGGGGTGTACAGCCCCTGCAATATTGAGAGTAATATCACCCTCCCCTCTCCTGGACATTAGGAACAATATCACGTGGGGGGAGGGTGTACGCCTCAGTGACATATTGGATGTAATATCCTCTTCCCCCGTGGATGTTAGGAAACACATCACAGAGTGGGTGTACACTTCATGTGATATTGGGAGTAATATTCTCTTCCCCCGTGGATATTAGAAACAATATCAAAAAGTGGGTGTATAACCACTGAGACATTGAAAGTAATGTCATCCTCTCCACTTCTGCTTATTAGGAACAATATCAAAGGGGGACTGTACAACCCCTGCGATATTTTGAGTAATATCATTTTCTCCTCCCATGGATATTAGGAACAATATCACCGGAAGGTGTGAACCTTCTGTAATATTGGGAGTAATACCATCGTCTTCGCCTTGGATATTAGGAATATTACAGGGAGGGTGTACAGCACCTGAGATATTGGGAGTAATATTATCCTCTCTTCCCATAGATATTAGAAACAATATCATGGGGGGATGTACACCGCCTGCAATATAGAATGTAATATCATCCTCTCCCCGAGTGGATATTAAGAACAATATCCCAGGGGAGGTGTAAAACCCCTGCAATATTGGGAGTAATATCATCCTCTGCCCCCCTGGATATTGGGAACAATATCACAGAAAAGGTGTACATTCACTGCGATATTGGTAGTAATGTCATCCTCTCACCCCCTGGATATTAGGTACAGTATCACGGTGTGGGGGGAGGTTGTACACACCCTGCAATATTGGAAGTAATATCATTTTCTCTCCCCTCGGATATTAGAAACAATATCACATGGTGGTTGTACATACTGTGCGATTGTGGGAGTAATAATATCTTCTCCCCCTTTGGATACTAGAAAAAATATCACAGGGAGGGTGTACACTCCTTGTGATCGAGGGAGTAAAGTAATCCTCTTCCCACTTTGATATTAGGAACAATATCACGGAGGGTGTACACCCTTTGGGATACTGAGATTAATGTCACCCTCTTTTCCTCTGGATACTGGAAAAAACATCACAAGGGGAATATTCACCCCCTGCAATATTGGGAGTAATATCATCCTCTTTCCCCCCGGATATTAGAAACCGTATCACGGAGGGGAGGTGTACACCCATTGCAATATTGGGAGTAATATAATTCCCTTTCCCCTTAAATATTAGGAACATTATCACAAGGGTGATGTACACACCCTGCGATATTGCGAGTAATATCATACTTTTCTTCTCTGGATATTTTGAAAAATATAGGGGAGTGTACACACTCTGTGATATAGAAAGTAATATCGTCCTCTCTCTCCCTGGATGTTAATAACAGTGTCAAAGGGGGGTGTACAACTCATCGGACACTGGGAGCAATACCATTCTCTCCCTCCCTGGATATTACAGAAAGAGTGTATACCCCTTGCATTATTGGGATTAATATCATTTACTCACCCAATGGATATTAGGACAAATATCTCAGGGGGGGCATACACCCCCAGCGATATTGGATGTAATATTATCCCCATCCCCCATGGATATTAGGAACCATGTCACAGAGTGGGTGTACACTTCATGTGATATTGAGAGTAATATCGTCTTCCCACATGGATATTAGAAACAATATCAAAGGGCGGGTGTACGACACCAGCGATATTGCAGTAATATCATCCTCTCCACTTCTGCTTATTAGGAACTATATCAAAGGGGAGTTGTATAACCCCTGCGGTATTTTGAGTAATATCATTTTCTTCCCCCGTGAATATTAGGAACAATATCACAGCAAAGTGTACACCTTTTGGCATATTGGGAGTAATATCATAATCTCCCCCATTGGATATTAGCAAAAATATCACAGGCAGGGTGTACAGCCCCTGTGATATTGGAGTAACATCATCCTCTCTTCCCATAGATATTAGGAACAATATCACGAGGCAAGGAGGTGTACACCGCCTGTGATGTTGAAAGTAATATCATCCTCTCCCCCAGTGGATATTAGGAACAATATCCCAGGGGAAGTGTAAAACCCCTGCAGTATTGGGACTAATATCATCAGCTGCCCCGCTGGATATTAGGAACAGTATCACAGAAAAGGTGAACATTTGCTGCGATGTTGGGAGCAATGTCATCCTCTCACCCTCTGGATATTAGGAACAGTATCACGGGGAGGGGGTGTACACACTTTGCGATATTGGAAGTAATATCATTTTCTCACCTGCAGATATTAGGAACAATATTACAGGGTGGTTGTGCACACCGTGCAATTGTGGGAGTAATATTATCTTCTCTCTCTTTGAATATTAGGAACAATGTCACAGGGTGGCTATATACTCCCCATGATCGAGGGAGTAATGTCATCCTCTCCCCACTTTGATATTAGGAATAATATCATGGAGGGTGTACACCCCTTGTGATATTTAGATTAATGTCATTCTCTTTTCCTCTGAATATTAGAAAAAACATCAAAAGGGGTGTATACACCCCCTGCGATATATACATCCCTGGTGATATTGGGAGTAATATCATCCTCTTTCCCCCTGGATATTAGGAACAGTATCACGGGGGGTGTACACCCACTGCAATATTGGGAGTAACACTATTCTCTTCTCCCTAAATATTCAGAACAATATCATGGGGGGGAGTGTACACACCCTGCGATATTGGGGGTAATATCATACTCTCCTTCCCTGGATATTTTAAAAAATATCATGGAGGGGCGGTGTGTGCACACTCTGCGATATAGGAAGTAATATCATCCTCTCTCTCCCTGGATATTAGGAAAAACATCACAGTGGGGGCTGTACACCCCATGGAACATCAGGAGTAATACCATCCTCTCCCTCCCTGGATATTAAAAACAATATCACAGGAAGCGTGTACACCCCCTGCGTTATTGGATTAATATCATTTTCTCCTTCAATGGATATTAGGAACATTATCACGGGGGGGTGTACACCCCCGGCGATATTGGATGTAATATTATCCTCATCCCCCGTGGATATTAGGAACCACATCACAGAGTGGGTGTACACTTCATGCAATATTGGGAGTAATATTCTTTTCCCCGTGGATATTAGGAACAATATCAAAGGGCGGATGTACAACCCCTGCGACATTGGGAGTAATACCATCCTCTCCACTTCCGCTTATTAGGAACAATATCAAAGGGGGGTTTGAATAATATCATTTCACATTATTTCATAATATATTTCATAATATTATTTTGAATAATATCATTTCTCCCCCCCCATGGATATTAGGAACAATATCACCAGAAGGTGTGCACCTTCTGGTCACAGGGAGTGTACACTCTGTGATATTATTCCTAGTATCCTAGAGAGATGTTACTCCTAATGTCACAGAGGGTGTGCACCCTGTGATATTATTCTTAATATTTTAGGGAGATGTTACTCCTAATGTCAGAGGGGGTGCACACACTGTGATATTCTTTGTGATATCCTAGGGGGATGTTACTCCTAACATTACAGGGGGAGTACAGCATGTATGTACACCTCCTGTGATATTATTTGTATTATCCTAGTGGGATGTTACTTACAATGTCACAGGGATTGACACCATGTGTGTACACCTCCTATGATAATATTCATAGTATCCTAAGGGGGTGTTACTCCTAATGTCACAGGGAGTGTACAGCATATGTGTACACACCCTGTAATATTATTCATAACATCCTAGGGATATGTTACTCCTAATGCAACTTAGGGTGTACACTATGTGTGTACACTCCGTGTTATATTATTCGTAAAAACCTCTGTGGATTTTACCTTTAATGTCATGCGGGTTGTATAACGTGTGTACAACCCCTGTGATATCATTAGTAATTGTCAGGCCTCTGAGCCCAAACCTGCACCTATTCATCCAGATAGCCTGAAGTAACTGAAGAATCACAAAAACAAGTGAAAATGGCCTGTTCCTGCCTTAACTGATGACATTACCTTGTGAAATTCCTTCTCCTGGCTCATTCTGGCTCAAAAGCTCCCTCACTGCGCACCTTGTGACCCCCACCCCTGCCAGTCAGAGAACAACCCCCTTTGACTGTAATTTTCCACTACCTACCCAAATCCTATAAAACGGCTCCACCCCTATCTCCCTTTGCTGATTCTATTTTCAGACTCAGCCCGCCTGCACCCAGGTGATTAAAAAGCTTTATTGATCACACAAAGCCTGTTTGGTGGTCTCTTCCCACAGACGTGAGTGAAAGTAATATGCTAGGGGGATATTATCCCTAATATTTTGGTGGATGTTACTCCTATTAAACAGGGGTTGTAAACCATGTGTGTACACCACAGGGAATGATATCATTCCTTATAACCTAGGAGAATGTTACTCCTAATGTCACATGGCTTGCATACTGTCTGTGTACAACCCCGGTGATATTATTTGTAATATCTTAGGGGGATGTTAATCTTATTATTAATCTTATTATGTTAATGATATTATTCCTAATATTTTAAAGGGATGTTACTCTTAATGTCACAGGGGTTGTATACCATGTGTGTACACGCCCTGCGATATTATTCGTAATATGCTAGGTAGATGTTTCTCCTAATGTCACAGGGGTTGTACACCATATGTGTACACCCCTGTGATATTATTTGTAGTATCTTACGTGGACGTTACTTCTAATGTCACAGGGTGTGTACACCGTGTGTGTACACCACCTGTCATATTATTCATCATACGTTAGTGAGATTTTACTCCTAATATCACAGGAGGTGTACACCGGGTGTGCACACGTCCTGTGTTATTATTTGTAATATTCTAGAGGGATGTTACTGCTAATATCTTAAGGGGTGTACACTATGTGTGTACACCTTCTGTGATATTCTTTGTAATATCTTGGGTGATGTTACTTCTAATGTCATAGGATGTGTACCCCATGTATGTAAACAGCCAGCGATATTATTCATAATGTTCTACGAGGATGTTACTCCTAACATCACAGGGGGTGTACACCCCCTGTCATATTATTTGTAACATCATAGGGGGATGTTATTCCTAATGTCACTGGGGATGTCCACCATGTGTGCCCACCCCCTGTGATATTCTTCGTAATATCCTAAAGTGATGTTACTTCTAATGTCACAGGGGGGTTACCCCATGTGTGTAAACAACCAGTGATATTATTTGTAATATCCTAGGAAAACGTTACTGCTAATTTCCCAGTGGGTTATATGATGTGTGTACAAACTGTGATATTATTCGTAATATTTTAGGGGGATGTTACACCTAATGTCACAGTGGGTGTACACCATGTGTGTACACCCTGTGATATTATTCGTAATATTCTAGAATGGTGTTACTCTCAACGTCACAGTGAGTGTACACCATGTGTGTACACCTTGTGATATTAATCATAATATTCTAGGGGGATGTTAGTCCTAATGTGACAGTGGGTGCACACTACTTGTGGACACCTTATGATATTATTCGTATTATTATAGGGGGATGTTACTTCTAATCTCACAGTGGGTTTACACCCTGTGATATTATTTGTAATATCCTAGGGAGATATTACTTTCCTAATACCACAGTGGGTGTACAAAAATTGCGTACAACCTGGGATATTCGTAATGTCTTGCAAAGATGTTACTATCCTAATATCACAGAGGGTGTACACAATTTATGTACACCCTCTGGGACATTATTTGTAATATTTTGAGGAGATATTACTCTCCTAATCTCACAGTGCGTTTACACCTTGTTTGCACATCCTGGGATATTATTCGTAATATCCTGGGGAGATTACTCTCCTAATATCATGGTAGGTGTTCACCATGTTTGTACAGCCTGGAATATTATTCGTATTATCCTGGGGAGATATTACTCTCTTAATATCACAGTGGGTTTACACCATGTGTGTACACTCTGGGATATTATTCGTAATATTTCAGAAAGATATAATTCCTAATATCAATGTGGGTGTTCACCCAAATATATTATTTGTAATATACTGGGGAGATACTACTTTTAATACCACAGTGAGTGTACACCCTGGGATACCATTCATAATATCTTGGGGAGATATTACTCCTCATATCACAGTGGGTGTGTGCCATGTGGGTACATTCTGGGATATTATTTGTAATATGCTGGAGAGATACTAGTCTTCTAATATCACAGTAAGTGTACACTATGTGTGCACACCCTGGGATATCGTTTGTAATATCTGGGGGATTTATTATTCTCCTAATATTACATTGGGTGTACAACATGTGTGTACACCCTGGATATTATTTGTAATATCCTAGGGAGATATTAATTTCTTAATACCGCAGTGGGTGTACAAAATTTGTGTACAACCTGGGATATTATTCATAATATCCTCCAGAGATGTTACTCTCCTAATATCACAGGGGGTTACACACCATGTGTTTACACCCTCTTGGATATTATTCATAATACTTGGGGAGCTATTATTCTCCTAATGTCACAGTGCGTTTACGCCTTGTTTGTACATCCTGTGATATTATTTGTAATATCCTGGGGAGTTATAATCTCCTAATATCCTAATATCAAAGTAGGTGTTCACCATATTTGTACACCATGGAATGTTATTCTTAATATCCTGGGGAGATATTACTCTTGTAATATCACAGAGTGGGTGTACACCTCCTGCGATATGGGGAGCAATATCATCTTCTGGATATTAGAAACAACATCACACGGGGGTGTACACTTTCTTTGATATTGGGAGTAATGGTATCCTCTCCTCCTTTGAATATTAAGAACAATATCACAGGGGGAATGTAGACCCCCTGCGATATTGGGAGTAATATCAGGCTCTCACCCACCCCCTGGATATTAGGAACAATATCCCAAGGTGGGTGTACACCTCCTGCTATATGGGAGTAATATCATCCTCTCTCTTCCTGGATATTACGAACCATATCACGGCAGGGAGGGGTGAACAGCCCCGCAGTATGGGGAGTAAAGTCACCCACTCCCCTCCCTGGGTTTTACAAACCATATCACGTGGGGGGTGGAGGGGTGAATAGTCCCCGCAGTACGGGGAATAATATCACCCTCTCCCCCACCTGGATATTACCAACAATATTGGGGGGTGAAAGCTCTCGCAATATGGGGAGTAATATCTTTTAGAGTATGACATTACTGCCTATATAATAGTTGGGTGTACATCCCCCCGGGGATATTGCTTCTAATATTCAGGGAAAGAAGAAAATGATATTACTCCCAATATCACAGGGAGTGTTCACGCCTTTTGTGAGATTGTTCCTAATTTCTGGAAGGGGAGAGGATGATATTACTTTCAATATTGCAGGCTATGTATATTCACCCTGTGAAATTGTTCCTAATATCCAGGAAGGGAGAGGATGATATTACTCCCCATATAGCAGGAGGTGTTCACCCACGCTGAGATATTGTTCCTAATATCCAGGGGTGGCAGAGCCTGATATTACTCCCAATATCACAGGGGGTGTACATTTACCCTGTAATATTTCTCTTAATAATTAGAGGTGGAGAGGATGATATTACTCTCAATATCAAAGAAAGTGTACACTCCCGTGTGATATTGTTCCTAATATCCAGTAGGGGAGAAGATGATATTACTCCCCATATCACAGGAGGTGTACACTCACTCTGTTATATTTTTCCGAATATGCAGTAGGGGAGAAGATAATATTCTCAATATCGCAGGGGTTGTACACCCCCTCTGTAATATTTTCCTTAATATTCAAGGGCGGGCAGGGTGATATTACTCCCAATATCACAAAAAGTGTACACTTTTATGTATTATGTTCTTAATATCCAGGGACAAAAGGATGATGTTACTTTTAATATTGCAGGGGGTGTACAGGCCCCCAATGATATGTCCCTAATTTCAACATGGGAGAGGATGATATTACTCCCAGTATTACAGGGAGTTTACACCCCACCTGTGATATTATTCCTACTATCCAGAAGAGAGAATGATATTACTCCCAATAGTGCAGGGGGTGTAAACCCCCCTGTGATATTGTTCCTAATAGATAAAAGAAGAGAAGATGATTCTACTCCTGACACTGCAAGGGGTGTACACTCACCTGTGATATTGTTCCTAACATCCAAAGAGGGAGAGCATGATACTGCTCCCAATATTACCATGGGTGTACACTCACCCTGTGATATTGCTCCTAATATCCAGGGGGTAGAGTACGACATTACTCCCAATATAACAGTGGGTGTACATCCATCCAGTGATATTGCTCCTAATATTCAGAGAAGAAGGAAATGATAATATCCCCAATATCGCAGGAAGTGTACACGTATTCTGTGAGATTGTTCCTAATATCAGGAGGTGGAGAGGATGAAATTACTCCCAATATCAAAAGCTCTGTACACCAACCCTGTGATATTGTTTCTAATATCCAGGAAGGGAGAGGATGATATTACTCCCATATAGCAGGAGGTGTACACCCACCTTGGGGTATTGTTCCTAATATCCAGGGGGTGGGTGAGAGCCTGATATTACTCCCAATATCGCAGGGGGTCTACATTCCCCCTGTGATATTGTTCTTAATATTCAAAGGAGGAGAGGATACCATTACTCCCAATATCAAAGAAAGTGTACACCCCCGTATGATGTTGTTTCTAATATCCAGAAGATGATATTGCTCCCCATATCACAGGAGGTGTACACCCACTCTGTGATATTTTTCCTAATATGCAGACGGGGAGAGTATAATATTATTGCCAATATCGCAGGGGGTGTGAACCCCTCCTGTGATATTGTCCATAATATTCAAAGGTGGGAGAATATTACTCCCAATATTGCAGAAAGTGTACACCCCCCCAGTGATATTGTTCCCATGATCCAGGAGAGAAGAGGATGATATTACTTTAAATATCACAGGAGGTGTACATGCCCCCAGTGATATAGTTCTTAATCTCAGTGTGGGAGAGGATGATATTACACCCAATATCACAGGGGGTATAAACACTCCTGTGATATTATTCTTAATATCCAGTAGGAGAGAGGATGATATTACTCCCAATACTGCAGAGGATGTACACCCATCTGTGATATAGTTTATAATTTCCAGAGGGGGAGATGATATTACTCACAATATGGTAAACAAGCTGTGTGTCCTCCATGGATCGTAATATCCAGGGGGAGAGAGGGGGGTGATATTACTCTCCATATCATGGGGGGTGTCCATCCCCCTGTGATGTGGACCCTAATATCCAGGGGGGTGGACAGGGGGATGATATTACTCCCCATACCGTGGGGGGTGTCCACCCCGCTGTGATGTGGATCATAAGATCTGGGGGAGGAGGGGGACAAGGGGGTGATATTATTCCCCATACCAAGGCATCACATACCTGTCCTCAAAGTATTCTATAATTATACAATAACTAAAACAACATGGTACTGATACAAAAACAGACACGTATACCTATGGAATAGGTTTGAGAACCCAGAAGTAAAGCCGCAAATATACAACCATTTGATCTTCAACAAAGTCAACAATAACAAGCAATGGGAAGGGAAATAAATCCCTATTCAATAAATGGTGCTAAGATATTTGACTAGCCAAATGTAGAAGATTGAATCTGGATCTCTACCTTTCACCATATTCAACAATCAACACAAGATGGATTAAAGACTTAAATGGAAAACCTAAAACTATAAAAACCCTAGAAGAAAACAGGAAATACCATTCTGGACACTGGCACTGGCAAAAACTTCATCACAAAGATTACAAAAGTAATTCTCACAAAAACAGAAATGGACAGGTGGGACCTAATTAAACCAAAGAACTTCTGCACAATGAAATAAGCCATCAACAGAGTAAACAGACAACCTACAGAATGGAAGAAAATATTTGCAAACTATGTATCCAACAAAGGTCGAGTATCCAAAATCTATAAGGAAATTAAGCAAAAAACAACCTCATTAAATAATGGACAAAGGACATAAGCCGACAATTCTCAAAAGAAGACAGACAAGCAGCCAATAAACATAGGAAACAATGCTCAATATTACTAGTCATTAGAAAAACGCAAATCAAAACCAAAATGAGATGCCCTCTCACACCAGTCAGAATGGCTGTCGATAAAAATTCAAAAAATAACAGATGCTGGTGAGGTTACAGAGAAAGAAGAACGCTTATATACTGTTGGTGGGAATGTAAATTAGTTCAGCTATCTTGGAAATCCATATGGCAATTCCTCAAAGAACTTAAAACAGAACTGCCATTCAACCCAGCAATCTCATTATTGAGTACCCACCCTCCCAAAATAAGTCATTCTACCAAAAAGATGCATGCCTGCATACATTCATTGCAGCTTTATTCACAATAGCAAAGACATGGAATCACCCTAGATGCCCATCATTGGTGGACTGGATAAACAGAATGTAGTACATATACACCATGGAATACTATGCAAGTATAAAAAACAACAAGATCACGCCAATTGCTACAACATGGATGGAGCGGGAGGTCATTATCTTAAGCAAAGTAATTCAGGAACAGAAAACCAAATAACACATGTCCTCTCTTAGAAGTGGAAATTAACCGTTGAGTACACATAGACACAAAGAAGTGAACAGTAGACACTGGGGCCTACTTGAGGGTGGAGGAAGGGAGGAGGATGAGGATCTAAAAATGATCAGGTGTTATGCTGATCACCTGGGTGACAAAATGACCTGTACATCAAACTTCCATGACATGCAATTTACCCATCTAAAAAACCTGCACTTGTCCCTTGAATCAAAAATAAAAGTTGGAAAAAAAAGATTAGTGATAGAGCTTACCCTTATCTGTAAGTTTTGAATTTATATTGTTTCATCCCATGTATAAACTACTTTTCTCATACACATACTCCTTTCTGTGTGTTTGGCGGGGCGTGTTCTATGGGAAAGTATAATGTTTTATCATGGTTTTAACTTCGGTTATTTTAGGATAAATTAAAAGTCAACTTTGGTGCCAGGGAAAAAAAAATCTCTCCTTGACACCCATTATAATAATTCTTTTTTGGAATTTTACTATAAGTAAGCTTCTTGCTAAAAAGTGTAAATCTATTATTTTTCTTTTACCTAATGCTTCCATATAGTTTTCTTTCTGACATTCCGATAATCTTCATGGCAGTAATTCTTTCTAGGTACAAATTTACCTGGAAAGCCTTTTAATATCTTAGTAAATGATCTGTGGAGAGACTGTAGGGAAACTTACATTGTAAGGTTGTTTGAGTAGGAGATTAAGACTACTCAAGTAGTCTTAATCAAGTAGGAGATTAACTACGTCAAGAAAAAAAGTCAAAGATGCAGCTCCTTGAAAGCAAGGGAAAATTATGAAAGTAATAATGGAAAAAAGCCCTATGTATGAAACAATCCTTTCATTAAACCACTAACTCTCAAAAAGTGGAACTTTGAATAGTACGCATGGTAGTTTTGCATCAGAGGTAATGAGGACAGGTTACATATGATTTTGCCTTTTACCTGAGGAAAGTAAGAGACCACTGCAGGATTTTGAGCTGAGGTATGACATATCTGACTTCAGCTTAGAGAGGATCTCTCTTGCTGTATTAACAAGACCAGGGAGAAAAGCATGGAAGTAGTGAAACCTGTTCAAAATCCAATGCAATAATCTAGGTAAGTGATGATGGTGGCATGGCCCAGGAGACAGAGAGAAGGGGGTGAAAGTTGATCAGATTCTACAAATATTTTGAAGATAAAGCCAGCAATACTTTTTTTTTTTTTTTTTTTTTTTTTTTTTGAGACGGGGTCTTGCTCTGTCGCCCAGGCTGGAGTGCAGTGGCGTGATGTCCGTTCACTGCAAGCTCTGCCCCCCGGGTTCATGCCATTCTCCTGTCTCAGCCTCCCGAGCAGCTGGGACTACAGGCACCCACCACCACTCCCGACTAATTTTTTTGTATTTTCAGTAGAGATGGGATTTCACCGTGTTCGCCAGGATGGTCTCGATCTCCTGACCTCGTGATCTGCCCGCCTCGGCCTCCCAAAGTGCTGGGATTACAGGAGTGAGCCACCCCACCTGGCCGCCAGAAAGACTTTTTGTTGGTTTGGAAGGCAAAAGAGAGGAGTGAAAGTTGACTTTAAGGTTTTTGGCTTGAACAACTGGAAGGAAAGAATTGACATCAGTTGAAATGGGGAAAGCTGTAGATAGAGCAGTTCTGAAGAGAAAGAATTGGAGTCCAGTTTGAGACTTGTGAAGTTTGAGATATCTATTAGTCATCAAAGTAGCAATGTAGAGCAGGTAGTGATAGTATTAACCTGGATTTCACAAAGGAGGCCAGCATTAGATATGTAAGTTTGGGAATTATTGGCATAAAAAAATGGAAGGGAACATGAAGGGACACTGTGTAATTAGAAAAAAAAGATGAAAGATTGAGCCCTGAGGTACTCTATCATCAAAAGTTCTATCAAATAGAAGAAATGATCTAAGAAGACTGAGCAGAAGCCATTGCTGAAGTAGGAGGAAAACTAAGAGATTATTTTACTCTAGAAGTTAAGTGAAAAAGTATATTTGTATTTTACACAGTTTGGGCTGCCACAACTAAGTACCATAGATTGAACAACTTACAAGAAACAGAAATTTATTTCTCACAGTTCTGGAGGCTGAAAGTTTGAGTCAGGGTGCCAGCATGATTGGATTAAGGTGAGGGCGATTTTCTGGGTTGGAGACTTCAGACTTCTTATTGTATCTTACATTGCAGAAAGCAGGGGAGAGAGCTCTCTGGAGTCCCTTTTATAAGGGCACTAATCCCATTAATGAGGGGGCCATGTCAATGACCTAATTATCTTCCCAAGGCCCTGCCTCCTAATACCATCACATTGAGGGTGAGGATTTTAACACATAAATTTTGAGGGGACACAAATATACAGTTCATAATATAGTAAGAGAAGTTTATGTTTAATGGTGGAGGTTAAATGCACATTACAAGGAGAGGGGGAATTGGAAAATAACACACACAACTCTTTTAAGGTGTTTTGCTGCAAAGAGGAATAAAAAAAAAATGGAAGGGAAGCTAGTGGGGGAAGTGGAGCCAAGAGAATATTTTAAAGATTAAAGAAGTAACAGCTTGTTTGCATGTTGATGGGAAAGATTCAACAGAGAGTGGGAAATCAGTGCAAAAAAGAGAGGGACAATTGCTGGAGCACTGTCTTTGAGTAGGCGAGGAAGGCTTTGAGAAGCTGTGGGACTGGCTTTAAATAGGAACAGAGACTTCCCCTATAACAAGAAGGAAGGAAAGGATATGAAGGTGTAGATGCATGTGAGTAGATGTAGAATTGCAACTTTATTGAAGTTCTTTTTTTCATTGCTGAATTTTCTCAAAGAATTAGAAATCAGAGTCAGCTTAGAGTGAGAGCTTGTTACTCTCACTAGACAATCATTAGAGTGAGAAACAAAGGTGTTTGCCGGGTGGGAGGCTGAGGTGGGTAGATTGCTTAGGGCCAGGAATTCAAAACCAACCTGGCCAAAATGGCAAAACCCCATCTCTACTAAAAATACAAAAATTAGCTGGGCGTGGTGGTGGGAGCCTGTAATCCCAGCTACTCAGAAGGCTGAGGCAGGAGAATTGCTTGAACCTGGGAGGCGAAGGTTGCAATGAACTGAGGTCACACCACTGCACTCTAGCCTGGGCGATAAGCAAGACTCCATCTCAAAAACAAACAAAACAAAACAAAACATGTATTGAATGCTTGAGAAGAGAGTAGAATATATACCATAATTATCTAAGACAGTAAAAGAACTAGGGAAATATGCCATAGTGGCCAGGTGTTTCAGGGGTCCTCAAGAATACCCCTAGTTTCTATGATTCATTAGGAAGATTCACAGGACTCAGCCTATTATTCTACTTATCGCTATGATTTATTATGGTGAAAGGATACAAAGTAAATTCAGCAAAGCCTATAGGAAATCAGATACAAACTTCCAAGAGTACTTTCCCAGTGGAGTTACATAGGGCGTGCTTAATTTCTTCAGCAACTGGTTGTGAAAACGCATGAAATTCTGTTTACCAAGAAAGCTCATTAGAAACTCATTGCCCAGAGTTTTTATTGAGGATTGGTCATGCAGGCATTCTCTGCCTAGCACATATTAAAATTTCAGACTTCCAGAAGGAAAGCAGGTGTTTGGCATAAACCATTTGCGCAATGTGGGCCCAGTGAGCCATGTTTGTCAGGGAATGGTTGGCACCCTCCTAAAATCCAAGTTTGCAGATGCCAGTCAAGGGCCAGTTTTGCAAACAGCCCTTTTTAAGGATAGCAATCTCAGGCCTGCTATGTTAATTTTTTTTCTGCACACCAGAATATTTTAAGAGTACACTTGAGAGAAGTAGTCACCATTTTAAAGTGAAAATGATTAGCATAGTTGTGTTTTTTTTTTTCCCCAGCCACTCTCAGGCGTAGAAAGTAAAGAATTGGATTTAATCTAGATAGCAGTGTTGCAAGTGACTGTGATGAATCAACAGAAATGCAAGGGAGTTGAGAGTCTATGTAAGGGAGTGATTATAAATCTATTATGAAACTTAAACTGAGTAGTGAGAATAAAGAGAACATGGATGGGTTGATGGACAGTGGAAGGATAGAAAAATTTAGCATGGGATCAAAGAACTATTGGAGATGGAAAACTAGAGAAAGAGAACAGGAAGAATATGTGGTGGTCAGAAAGTGGGAGGCATGACATTGAGCTTGTGGAGCAGGCATAGCTATTGTTAAAGGTCTATGGTCTACCTATGGGGATAGTGACTGAGATAGGGTGAAGAGCAGGATCCTTTGGGGAGAGGAGGTTGAAGAATACAGAAGACACCGATTAGAAAGCTCATATGTGTGGATATTACAACCACAAAGAATTACAGGAGTGGTGTTGGAAAGAATGTTAATGAGTCAGGAGCTGACATCTTTGAGAAATGAGGTAGAAGGACTTGGGAATTGATTGATCACAAAACAATGCAGGGTAGGGGGTGATGTTTGGTAACAGGGATTTAAAGTTGATGGTTTAGGGAAGGGAGAATGAGGATGGACAAATGATGAGAGGAGCAAGGAGGACGCGTGACCCACCTCCAAGCCTAGAACATGGGAGAAAAACAGCCACTTTAGATGGCTGGGTGGGACACAGAGTCCTCAGGGAAAGCCAGGTTTCTGCTCTCTGTAGCAAGAAAGTGAACAGAATGCTAAGAGAAGATGTTGAAGATAGAGACTTTTGCTGATGATGGATTTTATTAATAATTCCTGAAGGCATGATGGAAAAGATTTGAAAATGGCTGTTTGTGTATGGGGTGGTGGTGAGGAAGAAGGATCATGTTAGAGCCTTGTGGGAATTAAAGTATGAGAAGTGAGGTGTGACCTGAGAGTCTGAGAGTTCTTGATATAGACAGGAATAAGTGGCATAATGAGATTGGTTCTGGTGGATTCAAGGAAATTAGTGGCTATGAGTATTGGAGATTAGTGACGAGTTGTATCTGGGTTTTTCCTGATGGCTTTAAACAGAGCTAAGGAAATCTGGGAGAGTTTAGTTTCATTGTTGAACTGATGACCTGACTGATGATGGAGGCAGAAGCCTTAGGGTAGGAGGGGTCATTTTCTCAGGAGAGGAGTTCAGTCAGCTCTCTCTTGACCCTACTGGGGGAGAGGTTATCTTACATGAGTTAGTTGATCAGTCTCTCAGCCATAGATAAGCTAAGGTGTCACTTAGATCTTTACCCATCCTTTGTTTCTTAAACAAAGGGTATTATTTTTTTTTAAATAATTGTTTTTTAAAAATAATAGTTCTTGATTCATATGATAGTGACAATGTAGATCTGTGTCATCATAAACAGTTTTAGAGATGGATTTAAAAGCCTGAAATACAGAAAAAGAAAAGGAGTAAATAAAGAGAACAGTGCTCATTTTCTTGTTTTCAGTTCCTTTATTTGACTGGAGTGATGGGGTCATCAAAGAGTCTTGATAAATTAAAATGCTTAAAAGGAAAAGATGGCAGCCTAAGACACTTTCTTAGAGTCAGTAGCGAGATTTTTGCTCTTATAAAATTATAAAATATATATTGTTCATATGTACTTGAAGGACAAAATATAATGAACTGTATAACTAGATCAGGTAAAATATTTATATATGATTTCTAAACAATTAAAGCAATATAAATGAGCTTTTGAATTTTTCTTTGTTTAGTCAGTCTCTACATTTTCCCTAGAGAAAAAGGGAAAGTTCTTAGAGATTGAGATATTTTCCTTATCTTTTAAATTTGTTGTGACCATAAAAAGATACTATCCTTCTAATGAAAGGGATTGTTTATACTTTCTATCTACATATGCTTTCTGTCATAAAGGTTAGTGTAGCTGCAGTATTTCCCATCCTATTTTCCATCCCATGTGGGAAAAAAATTTGGATCTAAAAACAACTTCCAGATTAGACAGAGCAAAGCTTTTATTTATTTCACGTAATTCAACCCATGCCTATTACTTGTCTATATTATTTTTATATTATATCCAATCATGAAAACACTATAATAATAGTTTTGGGAACCAAAATATAATATTAATTTTGCTTATTTGGTCTGTTCCCAAATGTTCCATTTTCTTCCGACTGAGAAACTCATTTCTGTGTAACTTTTAGTAATTTTCTAGTGTAGAGTCGCAGTGATTTGCAGTTTGTCAGCACTGAGTGTAGCCTGGCTTCTTAATTTAAAACGGAGGCCCAAACTGGTGCTGTGGCTTTTGGGGCTGTGGTTTCCTTCTCATCATCAATTATCCCATGGTTACTTTTGAGAATTCCCGTAGGCCTGAGACTCCAGAAGATACAACTTGAGTCTGGGATTCACAGGTATGGATGATACTTAAACTTTTGCTAACAAATTATAGGTAATTTGTGAAAAGAGGAATCCTGGGGTGAGAAAATGAATAGTGGGGTTGGATATTAGATGGCAATAGACTGACTCATATTTGAACTTTAATTCTGCCACTTAATAGCTGTGGGACTTTGGATATGTTATTTAACAATTCTGAGCCTCAGTTTACCTATCTGAAAAATGAATATGCTGCAGCATTGCTGTGAGAGTGTAGACATACTTTCTGTGAATTCTAGCTATGTGGTACATACTATTTATTACCAAGATTTATACTGATTGTATGACAATGTACAAAATTTCTACTCTAGTTGAAATTTTCCTGCTCTGTTTTCCTTTTGTTCTTTAGGGAAACAAGTCATTTGTTTCTCTCTTTCCTGTTTAAACTTTGAGCACATACAATTCTATCCCTAGGGTACAACTCGTTTGTGGCTTGTCTGGCATTTGGATTAAAGCAGCTATTTGTGATGCCTCTGAGCTTCTTTCCTGTGTGTATCAGCAGCAGAGTTAGTCAATGTGGCTGCTCTAATGTGATGTAACAACCTGTTTTGCTTAAAGCCAAGGCTGTCATTTGATAGCAGTATCACATTTATGAACATTCCCATTTGCTTTTCTGGTAAAGACATGTGACAGCTAATTCCATGTTTTTTTTTTCTTTTCATCCTAAAGGAATAAATGTTTCAGTTTGTAACAAATTGACCTTTATGGTCTATCTAAAGTGCAAAGTGGACGCTATTAGTTTTGAGATTTGCTCTGTTTGAAGTTTCTAGGAAAAATATCAGCAATATAGTGATTTTTTTCTAAGCTATAAAAGTATAGCAATTTCATTGTCTTTTGTGAGAAATGAAGAGAATGGTTGCCAGGAGACTAAAATGGATCTTAGGGTACTAGATGGAAGAAAAAAAATTTCCCACTACCTTCTAAAACAAAACTGAAAATAGAAAATATTCACAGCAGCATTCCCCAATGGCTGGAGCTTTTCACTTGGTTGGACACAGCAATAAAACTTGTCCAGAAAATAAACCCATACATTTTATGCCTACACATATTTTGGGGATAAAAGACATTGAAACTTCCTCTTTCAAACTCATTTTAAACCCACAAAAGAAAAATCTTTACATTATTACAGCCCCTAACTTGCCTATATTAGTTGTCCAACATCATGAGGTTTTTTATCCATCCTCCCCTGACACCCTACCTATCGTTATTTTTTATTATTTGCATTTTTTTTTGTTTTCTTTGTGACCACTGATTTTTCCAATGACTGATTTCAGGTCCTACTGTGTTAATCCTGTCTACAGTTTGTAGCCTCCATTCTGCTACAGCAGATTATTTCTTGTTATTCTTAGTTTCTGTTGATCTATAGATCAACTATCGTGTGGTAACTGCTATTTCATCAGCCTTGTGTTTTCTTTTTCTCAGAATTAATTAACTTCTGAGAATTGTTTAGGGCTTTCTCTCTATATGAAAAATTTACTCCTTTGCAAAGTATGCATTGGCTTTCAAAGAACTTTTACCTCAGTGTTGACTATGCAGAATTAGTATGTACTGAATATTTTTTAGGAATCAAACCCAAATGCTTTCATAGACCAGGCAGGTAACACATATGTAAAGTAGGAAGGCAGGGACACAGAAGAAAATGAGTAAAACTGGAGTCTGGGGTAAGAGAAAGTTGTATGACTTCCATAAATATCTGCCAGTTAATTTTTTTCTAAAACACTGTGCCTAACCAAACCACTGTTGTCTTTCACTGGTCAAATTGTTGATGACAAATATTGCTTCAATTTAATTCTTATTAAATTTAAATCTTATTAACTTACTAGGTACGGATTTTATTATTCCCATTTTACAGATAAGAAAATTGAGGCTCAGAGAATTTAGATAATTTGTTTGAGGTCATAGTGAAGATTAGGAAGGAGAAATTTAAAATCATATCTTCTGGATCTAAATCCTATGTTAATTCCCTCTTTATAGAGCTGCTTCCACAGCCTTGAATATACCCAGAATTGATAGAATAACTCATTCACCCAAAAATTATTTATTATGTGCTAAAGAATAGTCTAAGCAGGGGAAGTAGAGAATTGACCAGAAAAAACTGCCTTCACACCTGTATTAGTCTGTTCTTATGCTGCTAATAAAGCCATACCTAAGACTGGGTGTTGTATAAAGAAAAAGAGGTTGAACGGAATCACAGTCCCATGTGACTGGGCAGCCCTCACAATCATGGCAGAAGGCAAAGAAAAAGCAAAGGCAAGTCTACGTGGTGGCAGGCAAGAGAGAGCTTGTACAGGGGAACTGCCATTTATAAAACTGTCAGATCTCATGGGACTTATTCACTATCACAAGAATAGCACAGAAAAGACCTGCCCCCACAATTCAGTGACCTCCCACTGGGTCCCTCCCATGACACGTGGGAATTACGGGCGCTACAATTCAAGATGAGATTTGGGTGGGGTTATAGCCAAACCATATGAGCACCTGTCAATTCTCTATTTCTTCCCCAGTACTTAGAGTATTCCTTAGCATATAAAATTACAAGGCAAGAGATTCTTATGCTAGATTTTGGCATTCATTACAACTGAGGACTCCCTGAAATTATATAGGAAAATTTGTTGGCTGTATATATTTGAATGTTTGTGGAGAACTAGAACATGGGTAGAATATTCACAGCATTAATAAGATTCTTAAAAGCAGTTATAGTCTCCAAATTCAAAGAAAACTAAGTTAAAGTTTCCTGGTTTAAACTGTTTTTCTTTTTTTTCCTAATAGTAAAAGAAGAGGCTACTTATGAAAAGTACATATTAAATATAGATTATTTATGAATTACAAATTGAAGGATAATTGGCATTTAAAAATTTGAAAATATGGTTTTATAAATTTTTGAAACCAAATATCTCATTTTTTGCAATGCATATTTAAATAAAAACTTTATTTGTAATTTTTAATAGTTAAATTTTCCTATAACTTGTATAATATCTAGTCTACAAGATTATATTAAAATTATGTTTACTTGATTATCTCTTTCTTTGTGTATTTCTACTGCTGTAGAAATTTGTGAAAATATATTTACCTATTCTTTTTTTTGTAAAATATATGTTGAAAAGGAAGTGACTACTATATGGGTATATTTTTTGTTGTTATATATGTTTTTATTTTTCATCAAGTGATTTTAATGAAATATTAACTAGTATTTTAACTTGGAACACTACTCATAAGATCTAAGTTAAATGGACATGTGCCATATAAATGAACTTATTAAATATTTCTGGGAGAATATTTATCTGGTAAAAAAAGAAAAATTTCCCCCTTGATAGAGAAATACTCATTACAGTGAACAATCACTGATTTAAAAATGTATCTGAAGGAAGTAACAAACACCCCATCTAGTTAAAAATATTCATGAAGAGTTCATGGTGAATTCTGTAAAACATACTGCATTTTAGTTGTCCTGTTTCTCATTGCAACTGTTGGAAGCTATCCAATTCCTTTGGTTGAGTATTACTTTTCAAAGTTAATGAATAAATCCTAATATATCTGTATTCAAAACTGCTCATAGGCCTTCTAATATTCTGAGCACAGCCTGTGCTGATTTTTCACCTCTTCAGAGCAAGGGTAATATTTGTCACAAGGTGAATATCTTTAAACTGCCTCAAAATAAATAAAAGCATCGTGATATGAAATTTACTTTCTGTGATCCTTGAAATGCTACGGAATACAGGACATTTGCTTAGAATTTTATTTTTCTCCCTGCATGTTTTAAAACTTCACCATGATTATCAAAATTGTTCTTTGTGTTTTATCTGGCTCTTATTTCTTCCTCTCTCTTTGAGGCAGCCCCTCTGACATTGTCATCCAACTTTTTTGGTTGAGGTACCCAATGCGAATTCTAAAAAACTAACCAATCTATAGGCTACTAATATTTTCCTCAGCAACCAGTTTACTTGTTAATTTTTATTCTTCTCTTTTAGTTACATAATTATTTATAGGTATTTACTTTTCTTTCTGTACTCAACATAGATTTTAGTCAGTCTTCCTACTTATTGGCATCAATGTTAATTCATGCCCTAATTGGAGGAAAAATAAGTGTCTTAGAAACTACCAAATTATCTCAAGGGATCTACTCTTAATGTATTTCTCTTTTGCCTTGGATCAAATGTAACTTATTGCTCATTCACCATAGTTTGTTCGTGTTAGACCTCCTGGTTTTATTACCACCAGTACCTTATTACCTGACACATGTTTTTCATTTAGTATAAAGTTTTATTTTTAAAAAATATGTTCTAAAAATTGTAAACTGGTCAAGTGTAATTGATTTAATTGTAATCCTCAAACAGATATGCCCAAATATTGACCCTTGGTACTATCAATATGACTTTATTTAGAAAGGGTCTTTGCAGATGTAATTAATGTAAAAAACTTAAGTTGAGACCATCTGATTAGGGTGGGCCTAATAAAAGTTATGATTGTGACTTTATAGAAGACAGGAATGGAGGCAGGCATGGTGGCAAATACCTATAGTCCCTGCTTCTCAGGAGGCTGAGGTGGGAGAATCACTTGAGCCCAGGAGTTTGAAGCCAACTTGGGCCACATATTGAGACCTGTCTCTCTTAAAAAAAAATAAAATAAAACACGGAAAAGAAAAAGCCACAGGCAGACACAGGGAAAGCCATGCGATGGCAGAGGTGGAGATTGGAGTGATGTGTCTGCAAACCAAGGAGCAGCACGGATTGCCAACAGCTGTTGTAACTTAGGACAGGCACTAAACAGATTCTGCCTTTAAGTCTCTGGAACTGACTGTGCCAACAGCTTAACTTCAGACTTCTGGCCTCCAGAACTGTGAAAGAATAAATTTATATTGTTAAAAAAATTGTAAGGACTTCATTTACTTTTAGAATGCGTGTTGTAACAATAATTATTCTTGATTTGGCACTGTCTCTGGAATTAGCCACAGAAGACATAGTCCAGGAACTCAGGTCCCCAGAAATGTTCTCATATTCCCACATAGGGATCCACCTGTGACTTGGACAAGGAGAGTCTGGAATTCTAAGAGTACAGCCCCGGAGCATTCTGATTTTCCTCCCTCTCACTCCTTCTGGCATTTAGAGAGAGTATTGTCTGAAATTATCAAGGGCTAGGGTCGACGAAACATCCAACTTCTATGTGTTTAAAGGCATTTTCTGAAATTTCCTGTATGCTGCTCTCCTATTTTTTGTTCGTTGTTTGTTTGTCTCTTTTTCTGATACAGAATTTAGGCAGTTCTTACTGGGCTAATCTTTGACTATAGATTTTGTGAATCCATGGGAGTTTTTCCACAATATCCCCGTGTTTTTTACTCTTTTCTTCAATCATAAAAAGACTCTATCCTTTACGCTCAGGACCTGAGATTAAAGCCCTTCAGTGATGTAGGTTATCAGGGTCTGAAAAAAAAACCCATTTCCTGTTGGCTGCTTCAAGCCAGGATTAGAGCAGTTTCCTGTTCTTCCCTTGCTCTATGCATTGTTTTTGGTCTTACTGCTCTTAGGATTCCTGGTATATTGACCTAAATACTTAAGTCCCATACCTCAGTTCACTTTAACATCACTCCTAACTCTAAACTGTGTCTTGCACCATGAACACTACTTACACTTAGCCAGTGTTCTGCCAGAAGTGAGATGAGGGGAACCTACAATAAGCCAGTTTTACTAATTGTCAGCCTTTCTAGTAAAAACCTAGTAAAATATCACATATGGTAAAAGGTTAGATTAGAAGAAGACTGAATGTTCTGGATAAAATAAGGCTTGGGATTTATAAGGGAATTTCCATTTCCATGTATTCTGTATCCTTCATTACTGGGGATAATTGCAAGCTGGTAGTAATAACGCTAATGAGGTATATGTAAATATGAGATGCAATAGAATAAAATTAAGCCATGTATGCTTGCCAAATAATGAACTTTTGGTGTTTCAGTTAAGCTGAATGCATCCCAAATATTTTCAAGGAAGGTCTTAAAGCCCCACTACACTAAAAGGTTTGAGGAAACAGATTTTTAGAAGAGGCTAAAAAACTTTTGGGAAAGGAATGATGAATGAAAGACCTTTCCTTTTTCTATTAGTAAATGAAGTATATGAATGAACTTTAAAATCATGAACAAATGGTTGCCTATTATTTTAGAGGGCTCAACAAATTGATCATCACCAAGTAGAAATAAAAGCATACCTTGAAGCCTTTATTTCTGGGCAGGTCTGACTGGCTTTACATATCAGGAGCAAAGATTTTAAACAATCTTAAGTCTATGCAAAGGAAAGTATTTGTTCCAGTACTTTAAGATGGAGATGAATCAGAAAACGGTTTTATAGTGTGTATTATTTCTCACTGGGCCCAGGTAGTAAAATATGATGTGTTAAAGCTATTTTCATCCCCTAATTAATGAGAAATTAAGAGTGTTTATTTGACTGGATAGTGTTGGAGGCCTGGTGTGTTAGTGGTCAACCATCAAGACTAAACTGGTGGTTTAACCTTTCATTATATGTTTCCTAAGTGGCTTTAACTTTCTGCAGATGAATCTTTGAAACAAATGAAGTAAACTTTTCATGATTTGTCAGCTATATAACCTGTGTTTTGCTTTTGATGTCAAGACCTCTTCTTTTGGTTCTAGTAGCTAAGTAGTGGAGATAACATGTCTATCTTAGAAGTTTAGAAGAATGCACAATTCACCACTTAAAATAATTCTTCAGGATGCTAATTTGTTCACATACCTAAGGAGAAACCCTAATGCATGGAAATATAAATTTTTATACATCAGTAGAAGGCTAATTTAGACTCCTTCCTTTCCATCATGGGGATACATATGTGTGATCCAGTAATGATTGTCCTAATCAGTTTTTTCTTCTTGAAGGAAGCAAACAATCTTAAATTTATTTTATTTATTTTTTTAAAAGAAATCCGGCCGGGCGCGGTGGCTCACGCCTGTAATCCCAGCACTTTGGGAGGCCGAGGCGGGCGGATCACGAGGTCAGGAGATCGAGACCATCCTGGCTAACACGGTGAAACCCCGTCTCTACTAAAAATACAAAAAATTAGCCGGGCGTGGTAGCGGGCGCCTGTAGTCCCAGCTACTCGGGAGGCTGAGGCAGGAGAATGGCGTGAACCCGGGAGGCGGAGCTTGCAGTGAGCCGAGATCGCGCCACTGCACTCCAGCCTGGGCGACAGAGCGAGACTCCGTCTCAAAAAAAAAAAAAAAAAAAGAAATCTTACAGTCTCCCTCTGAATCGCAGTGCTGCTTATCTGTTTGACAAATTTAGTCCCATGGATTTAGACTAGATATTCAGGCTGATGGAAGAGAAGAAAATGGAAAAGTGAAAAATAATAGTAGTATTCCTGGATGGGATGCACGGGCATTTCTAGACGAAGGACTCTAATCAACAGCCTCAAGAGACATAAAAATGCATGAGTTGAGCTAGACCTGGCAGCTTGATTTTTTCCTCTGGTATGGGCATGTCCTTGATTTCATCAGTCTTTCTCTGCTAGATTTCCCAGGGAATGAAGTCTTCAGGTTTTTATGTGCTTCCTTTCAAGTGAGAGCCGCAGGTGTGACACATTTTGAAAGCTGTAGTAAACAAACTTCTGCCGAGAGGATGAGAAAAAACACAAAACTAAACTTTGAGGTGATTTTCTGTCAAACTTCAGTAGTTAGTTATACAGCAGAAAGAACCATAATTGGAATTCTTTTTATATGTGCTAGAATGAGAAAATGCTTTTCTAGTATAGGAATGAGATATTGATGATATCGATGAGAATATCACTTGAACAATAGGCTCATGAAGACAGGGGTTAGACTGACCTCTTGTACCCAATGCCTGGCATGAAGTAAGGAATTCTACAAATTTTTGGTGAATGAATGAATAAATGAAATCAATAATATATCAATTGTATTTTCATAATATATTTTTAAAAATCTTGCTACTTTGTTTTCTTTAACGCTTCTTAACTCTTATGTAGGTGATATTTCAAATGAATGAGAAGTAAGTCTTTCAAAATACAAAAGGTTATAAATTGTGCATATGAGCCCTTGTTTTATTTTTATTTATTTTTTAAATGTAATTTGCATTTCTTAAAATTTTATTTAAGTAGTTTTTGGGAAACAGGTGGTTTTTGGTTACATGAATAAGTTCTTTAGTAGTGATTTCTCAGATTTTGGTGCGCCCGTCATCCGAGGAATGTACACTGTACCAAATGTTTTTATCACTTATGCCTTCCCCTGCTCCCCCCGAGCCCCCAAAGTCCATTATATCATTCTTATACCCTTGCATCTTCATAGCTTAGCTCCCACTTGTAAGTGAGAACATATGATATTTGGTTTTCCATTCCTGAGTTATGTCACTTAAAATGATGGTCTCCAGCTCCACCCAGGTTGCTGTGAATGCCATTATTTTGTTCCTTTTTATGGCTGAGTAGCATTCCAGTGTATGTATGTGTGTGTGTGTGTGTGTGTGTGTGTGTGTGTGTGTGTTTATATGTCACATTTTCTTTATCCACTTGTTGATTGGTAGTCATTTAGGCTGGTTCCATAGTTTTGCAATTGAGAATTGTGCTGCTATAAAAATGCGCATGCAAGCGTCTTTTTCATATTATGACTTCTTTTCCTTTGGGTAGATACCCAGGAATGGAATTGCTGCATCAAATGGTAGTTCCACTTTTAGCTCTTTAAGGAATCTCCACACTGTTTTCCATAGTGGTTGTACTAGTTTACATTCTCACCAGCAGTGTAAACGTGCTCCCTTTTCATCACATTTGTGCTAACATCTATTTTTTTTTTATTTTTAAATTATGGCCATTCTTGCAGGAGTAAGGTGATGTCTCATTGTGGTTTTAATTTGCATTTGTGTATCTTCTTTTGAGAATTGTCTATACTTGTCCTTAGCCCACTTTTTGATGGGATTTTTTTTTCTTGCTGATTTGTTTGTGTTCCTTGTAGACTCTGGATATTAGTCTTTTGTTGGATGTGTAGATTGGGAAGTTTTCACTGCCTCTGTGGGTTGTTGTCTGTTAACTATGCTGATTATTTCATTTGCTGTGCAGGAGATTTTTAGTTTAATTAGGTCCCATTTATTTATTTTTTGTTTTTGTTGCATTTGCTTTTGGGTTCTTGGTCATGAAGTCTTTGCCTAAACCTATGTCTAGAAGAGTTTTTCCGATCATGTCTTCTAGAATTTTCATGGTTTCAGGTCTTAGATTTAAGTCTTTGATCCATCTTGAGTTGATTTTTATATAAGGTGAAATATGAGGATCCAGTTTTGTTGTTCTACATGTGGCTTGCCAATTATCCCAGCAGCATTTGTTGAGTAGGGTGTCCATCCCCACTTTATGTTTTTGTTTGCTTAGTCAAAGATCAGTTAGCTGTAAGTATTTGGCTTTATTCCTGGTTTCTCTATTATGTTCCATTGGTCTATGTGCCCATTTTTGTACCAGTACCATGCTATTTTGGTGACTATGTGGCTCCTTTTTGGTTACATATGAA
Source organism: Homo sapiens (assembly GCF_000001405.40). Classification (NCBI taxonomy): domain Eukaryota; kingdom Metazoa; phylum Chordata; class Mammalia; order Primates; family Hominidae; genus Homo; species Homo sapiens. The sequence continues at coordinate 99,252,298 of NC_000005.10, forward strand.
TTTTAGGATTTTTTTTTCTAGTTCTGTGAGGAATGATGATGGTATTTTGATGGGAGTTGCATTGAATTTGTAGATTGCTTTTGGCTGTGTGGCTATTTTCACAATACTGTTTCTACCCATCCATGAGCATGGGATGTGTTTCCATATATTTGTGTCTTTTATGATTTCTTTCAGCAATGTTTTGTAGTTTTACTTGTAGAGGTCTATCACCTCTTTGGTTAGGCATATTCCTAAGTATTTTATTTTATTTATTTTATTTATTTTTTGCAGCTATTATAAAAGAGGTTAACTTCTTGATTTCGTTCTCAACTTTGTCACTGTAGGTGTATAGCACTGTTATTAATTTTTGTACATTGATTTTGTATCTTGAAACTTTACTGAATTCATTTATCAGATCTAGGAACTTTTTTGATGAGCCTTTAGGGTTTTCTAGGTAGACAGTCATATCATCAGTAAACAGTGGCAATTTGACTCCCTCTTTACCGATTTGGATGCCCTTTATTTCTTTCTCTTCTTGGGTTGATTGCTTTGGCTAGGACTTCCAGTACTATGTTGAATAGAAGTAGTGAAAGTAGGCATCCTTGTCTTGATCCAATTCTTAGGGGGAATGCTTTCAACTTTTCCTCATTCAGGATAATGTTGGTTGTGTGTTTCTCATAGATGACTTTTATTACCTTGAGGTATGTCTCTTTTATGCCAATTTTGCTGAGGTTTTAATCATAAATCGATGCTAGATTCTGTGAAATGCTTTTTCTGCATCTATTGAGATAATCATATAATTTTTGTTTTAAATTCTGTTTATGTAATGTGTCATATTCACTAACTTGCAGATGTTCAACCATCCCTGCATTCATGGTCTGAATTCCACTCGATCATGGTGTATTATCTTTTTGATATGCTGTCGGATTCTGTTAGCTAGTATTTTATTTAGGATTTTTGCATCTATATTCATCAGGGATATTGGTCTGTAGTTTTCTTTTTTAGTTATATCCTTTCCTGGTTTTTGAATTAGAGTGATACTGGCTTTATAGAGTATTTTCAGAAGGATTCCTTTTTATCTCTATCTTGTGGAATAGCATCAATAAGATTGCTACCAATTCTTTTTTGAATGCGTGATAGAATTCAGCTGTGAATTCATCTGGTCCTGGAATTTTTTTTTTTTTTTTGTGGTAACTTTTGAATTACCATTTTAATCTTGCAGCTTGTTACTGGTCTGTTCAGAGTTTCTATTTCTTCCTGGTTTTATCTAGGAGGGTTGTATATTTCCAGGAATTTATCCATCTCATCTAGATTTTCTTGTTTTTGTGCATAAAAATGTTCATATTAGTCTTGAATGATATTTTGTATTTCTGTGGTATCAGTCATAATAGCTCCCATTTTGTTTGTAGTTGAGTTCATTGGGATCTTTTCTCTTCTTTTCTTGGTTCATCTTGCTAACTGCCTATCAATTTTGTTTATCTTTTCAAAGAACCAGCTTTTTGTTTCATTTATATTTTGTATTTTTTTGTTTCAATTTCATTTAGTTCTGCTCTTATCTTTGTTATCTCTTTTCTTCTGCTGGGTTTCTGTTTGGTTTGTTCTTGTTTCTCTAGTTCCTTGAGGTGGGACTAGAATGTCGATTTGTGCACTTTCAGACTTTTTGATGGAGGCATTTAATGCTATGAACTTTCCTCTTAGCACTGCTTTTGCTGTATCCCAGAGGTTTTATTAGGTTGTGTCACTATTATTGTTAAGTTCAAAGAATTTTTTAATTTTCACCTTGATTTCATTAACCCAAGATCATACAAGAGCATATTATTTAATCTCCACGTATTTGCATAGTTTTGAGGGTTCCTTTTGAAGTTGATTTCCAGTTTTATTTAACTGTGGTCTGAGAGAATACTTGATATAATTTTAATTCTTAAAAATTTACTGAGACTTGTTTTGTGACCTATCATATGGCATATCTTGAAGCATGTTCCATGTACTAATAAAAAAAGAATGTATATTTTCTGCAGTTGTTGGGTAGAATGTTTTGTAAATATCTGTTAAATCCGGATTTGTTCTAGGGTATAGTTTAAGTCCATTATTTCTTTGTTGACTTTCTGTCTTGATGATTTGTCTAACAGCTGTCAATGCAGTATTGAAATCCCTCACTATTATCGTATTGCTGTCTATCTCATTTATTACATCTAGTAATAATTGTTTTATAAATTTGAGAGCTCCAGTGTTAGGTGCATATATCCATATATATTTAGGATTGCAGTATTTTCTTGTTGGTTTAATCCCTTTATCGTTATGTAATGACCCTGTTTATCTTTTTTTTTTTAACTGTTGTTGCTTTAAAGTCTGCTTTATCTGATATAAGAATAGCTACTCTTGCTTGCTTTTTATGTCCATTTGTGTGGAGTATCTTTTTCCACCCTTTTACCTTAAGTTTATGTGAGTCTTTATGTGTTAGGTAAGTCTCTTGAAGACAGCAGATACTTGGTTAATGGAGTTTTATCCATTCTGCCATTCTGTATCTTTTAAGTGGAGCATTTAGGCCATTTACACTCATTGTTAGTATTGAGATGTGAAGTATAGTTCTATTCATAATGCTAGTTTTTCCCTAAATACCTTGTTTTTTTTTTTCGTTGTGTTAGCGTTTTATAGGCTGGGTAAGATTTATGCTTCAAAGAGTTTCTATTTTGGTGTATTTCAAGTTTTTGTTTCAAGATTTAGAACTCCTTTTAGTAGTTCTTGTAGTGCTGGCTTGGTAGTGGCAGATTCTCACAGCATTTGTTTGTCTGAAGAAGACTTTATCTTTCCTTCATTTATGAAGCTTAGTTTTGCTGGATACAAAACTCTTGGTTGATAATTGTTTTGTTTAAGAAGGCTAAAGATAGGAGCTCAATCTCTTCTGGCTTTTAAGTATTCCGCTGAGAAATCTGCTGCTAATCTGGTAGGTTTTCCTTTATAGGTTACCTGATGCTTCTGTTTCACAGATCTTAAGATTTTTTTTCTTCATCTTGACTTTAGTTAACCTGATAACTATGTGCCTAGGTGATTATCTTTTTGTGATGAATTTCCTAGGTGTTCTTTGAACTTCTTGTATTTGGATGTCTAGATCTCCAGTAAGGCCATGGAAATTGTCCTCAATTATTCCCTCAAATAAGTATTTTTCCTCAGGAACACCAATTATTCTTAGGTTTGGCCATTTAAAATAATTCCAAATTTCTTGGGGTCTTTGTTTTTTTTCATTCCGTTTTCTTTGTCTTTGTCTGATGGGGTTAATTCGAAAGCCTTGTATTTGAGCTCTGAAGTTCTTTCTTCTGTTCAATTCTATTGTTGAAACTTTCCAGTGCATTTTATATTTCTCTAAGTGTGTCTTTCATTTCTAGAAGTTGTGATTGTTTTTTCTGTATGATATCTGTTCCTCTAGAGAATTTTTTTCCATATCCTGTGTTGTTTTTTAAATGTCTTTATGTTGTTTTTCACCTTTCTTTTTTATCTCCTTGAGTAGCTTAATAATCAACTTTCTGAATTCTTTATCTGGCAATTCAGAGATTTCTTCTTGTTTTGGATTCATTGCTGGGGAGCTAGTGTGATCTCTTGGGGATCTTATAGAATGCTGTTTTGTCATATTACCATAATTACTTTTCTGGTTCCTTCTTATTTGGGTAGACTATTTCAGTGGAATGATCTTGAACTCATGGACTGCTGTTCAGATTCTTTTGTTCCATGGTGTGCTCTCTTGGTGCAGAGCTCTCCGTTCCCCTTCCCCTAGAAATGGGGTTTCCTAAGAACCAGACTAGTGATTGTTATTACTCTTCTGGGTCTAGCCACCCAGTGAGGCTACCAGGCTCCAGGTTGCTGCTGAGGAACTTGTGCAAAGAGTTCTGTGATATGACCTGTATTCAGGTCTTTCAGCAATCGATACCAGCACCTGTTCTGGTATAGGTGGCATGGGAGTGATGTGAGAGTCCTTAGTTGTAGATGTGTTGTGTTTAGTCGGCTGGCTTTCTCAACTGCTGGTTGTGCTAGCAGTGAAGTTGTCATGTGGAGAGACTTAGGACCTCTGGTTAGCCAGCATGTTTCAGGCAGTGCAATTAGCTGTTGTTTTCTGCTTTCCGAGTGCAGGGTTATTCTGTCATGAGTTTCTGTACTGTCCCGAGTTGGTTGGTTTCCAGCAAGAAGGTGGTGCTTTCAAGAGAGCACCAGCTGTGGTAGTAGCAGGGCGATCTCAGCTTGCCCTAAGTTGGCGAGGGTGAGTATTCTGGTTTCTCAGGCAATGGGTAGGGTCCCAAGAGTTTATATCTTTTTGTTCATCTTAACAGGGTAGATAGAAAAATACCATCAGATAGGAGCAGGGTTAAGTGGGTCTGGGCTCAGATTCTTCTTGGGCAGAACTTGCCACAGCCACTGTGGGCACTGGGGGTGGTTCTCAGGGCACTGGGGGTGGTTCTCAGGCCAATGGGGTTATGTTCCAGAGGGGACTGTTGCTGCCTCTGCTGTGTCATATAGTTTAACAGGGAAGTGGGGGTAGCTGGTAGCAAAAGGCCTCATCCAGCTTCCACGTAGTTGGCAAGGCTGTTTTTGCTCCTACAGTGCCCTGCTAAGAGCTTGCCCCAGGCCATAAGCTTCCCCATTGAGAAATCAAGCACAGCTTTCAGGCCTCACCCCTCCCCATCTGCCCACACTGTTGGTGGTGGCTCTTGTGCTGGTATCTGCAGCAGTTTCCATTTGCCCCCGGATTCTGCTCAAGAATATTTGTCCCCAGTGAAAATTATTACAAATTTCAGTTGGAAGCTTTTCAACCTGTGACCTCTCCCTAGTTCTGCTGGCTGTCTACCCCATGGGCCCTTGTGTAATATAGTCAGGAATAGCTTCCCTGGGCTAGAGCTGAAAACTGGGAGCGCTCTTCCTGCTGCTGCTTCTACCTTTATATTTTGCATGGCTCCCTAAAAATCTGTTTCAGCTCCAGGTAAGGTTAAATTCTTCCCCTGTAATCTAGATTTTTAGATTCCCCAGTGGGGATGTGTGTTCTGGGGCAGGTTTTCCTCCTCTCATACTTTGGGAACTTACAGTTTTTCACCTGTCTTGTTGAATTTGCAGCAGCATACCACTTCTTTCAAAGGATCTATGAATTCCTTTGGTTTCCTGGTACATTCTGTGGTTGTTCTTGCAGCAAAATGTCATAATGTGATTCTTCACATGCTGGTCTGTCCATCTAAGTGGGAGCTGCGCGTTAGCTTTGTCTCCTATCTGCCATCTTCCTACAGTATCTGATCCCTTCTTTTTTGTTAGATTTATAAATCTTATATTTAGAACAGGTAGAACTCAGGGCTATTACATATTCATACATGTAAAGATATATGTGACTACCTTTCCTGGTTGTGTAGACATTCAAAAATGTGCAATGAGGCAGAGGGGGAAATCACACTTGTTTAGGTAATTTAGGTTCCTAAAGCAGCTTTGCTATATAACTCAGTTGAAAGCAATGTGCTGACTTGGCCTATCCATGTAATTGCTCTATTTCCTTTTTTCTTATTGTGCTGTTAGTCCTAAACAAAATGGTTTTGATTGTCATGAAGACTATTATAAAAACACAAATAGTACAATAGCTCATTATGTGTGCCAAAATTTTGTGTTCTACTCAGCAAATTTCTTACAAGGTTGGTTTATCTGTTCAGGGGAATCTGAGTGATTGAGAATTTTTATTGATATTGCATCTAATTTAGGCATTCCATGGAGTGTTTGGGATAGCTATTCTGTTTTTGTCACTTACCAATCCTGTAGGGTGTTGTAGGGATTCATGCTGATTGACACTTACTCATGTAAACGTGGGTTGTGGTGAAAAGCACTGACTTTGGCCTCTGACCCACAGAGCTGAATCTGTCATTTGTAGTGGATTACTTAATTTTAAGCTTTAGTTTAATCATATAAAATGCTTTACCTGAAACAAATTTGAGAGTACATCCTAAATAAGGTTAATTTATAATTAAGTAAGGGAATATACATGACTACCTTTAGGGCTGTAACAGTTTTCTTTTTTCTTCTTTACTTTTCCTGCTTTCTTATTTTTGGAAGTATTAATACACATATTTTTAGTATAAATTTTTTATTACTAGTAGGCATGGGCATCTACCTAGTGTAGTTGTAATTCCTGTGATTGAAATATCTGTGCAATTTTCCAGCACCTATGAATAATAATAATAATTAGATTGTACTATCTTCTTTCTCAAATGGCGTATGAACAAATTTCCTGTGAAACAACATGATGTGTAAGAAAGAGCACTGAACTTGGGGGCAGCATACATCATGACCTACATGCTGAGTGACAAAGGGCAAATCATAACACATCACACAGGCCCAGTTTTCTTATATATGAAATAAGAACAAAAATACCTGCTATACATCACACAGGGAGGAGTTTTGAGGATTAAGAAATATATGTGAAGCTGTATGGTAACATCAAAGCCACAGCACAGATATAATGACAATTGAATAAAAATGGGATAGTCTCTCAAATCTTCCTACAATCAAAAAACATGACATGCTATATTATTCTCAGAAAATTTCTTCTCCTTTGAAAAGTTATTCAGTTCATATTTGGTAACAGAGAATCTTTCTTTTTTCTTCAGCTTAATTTCTGAGATATATGTGCAGGATGTGTGGGTTTGTTACAGACGTAAATGTGTGCCATTGTGGTTTGCTGCACAGATCAACCCATCACCTAGGTGTTAAGCTCAGCATTCATTTTCATTTCTTACTGATGGTCTCCCTCCCCTTCTCCATCCCAGCAGGCCCAGTGTGTTTTGTTCCCCCACACTGATGAGCTGTTCTCATCGTTCAGCTCCTACTTATAAGTGAGAACATGCAGTGTGATAGCAGAGAGTATTTTACCAATTGACAAATATTACTGCTGACAAAAAAAACCCCCAGAAAGCTGATAAACAATAAGAAGAAAATAAAAATCACTGACAATACCATTAATCTGGCATAAACACTATTAAAATGTCTATATATATATTAAAATTTTCTTTTTCAGAAATGTGTTCTATGTTAATTTTTTCACTAAACCACTGATTATAAACATTTTTTCCTTGTGACAATGTATCCATCTCTAACCTCATCTAATAGTTGCATAGTGTTTCCTTGAATAGATATATCATAATTGATATTACTAAATATTCATTATAATTATGTTTGCAGTTTTTCAGAATGATAAATAATGCTATGATGGACATTCTTAGCTAAATCATTATGTCTGCTTAAAATTATTTTTTATAAAATGAGATCATGTCCTTTGCAGCAACATGAATAGAGCTGGAGGCCCGTATCCTAAGTGAGCTAACACAGGGACACAAAACCAAATACTGCATGTTCTCACATATAAGTGGGAGCTAATGAGTACACATGGACACAAAGAAAATAACAGATCCCAGAGCCTACTTGAAGGTGAAGGGTAGGGGGAGGGATAGGACTGAAAAACTACCTATTGGGTACTATGCTTATTACCTGGGTGACAAAATAAGTTGTCACCAAACCCTCGCAACATGGAATTTACCTGTATAACAAACATGTACATGTAACTTTGAACCTAAAATAAAAGTTAAAATAATTATTTTTATGATAACAATTTGGAAATTGAATTGCTGGGGGAAAGCATATGCATATGAGTAAGGCTTTTGATAAACAAAGCCACATTGCCTTCTAGAACAAACGTGTATGTACTGAAGATTTACATTTACTGAAGATTTTCCGTAAATTTTGTTGGAATTTTTGCTCTTGATCCCATTTTTAAACAGCATATGTTGCCTCATGAAAAAGTTCTAAGAAGACAGAAAAAAATGTGTCATGCCAGAGCCTGGGAGTACTAAAAGCTTAAACTCTGATATAGTTTTAAAAAATATGGAAGAATGCATTATTTGTAAAGAATATTTCTATGACTCCTATAAAGTGTATGGATTCCTGGTCTGATGAGACAATAATTGGGAGGAAATCCACTGTTAGATGTTTATGAGTGTCCCTGAGAGAAGAACCCTCTTTCTTGTCCTCTTTGCATCTATGCTGGATAAACCCAGGCTGGGTGAACAGGTAACAGAAATGTCAGGTAGATTGGGGGAGTCAGATGTAAAGGCTCATGTGCCTCACTTCCCATTTGGAAATTAAATGATTTTCTGATTCATGAGTCAATTTGTCATATTTCCTTTTTCACTTTTAAAAATGTATTTTGTCCCAATTTCATATTGGCACAACCACTATGGGGAACAGTTTGGAGGCTCCTCAAAAAAAAAAACTACAAATAGTGCTACCATACTCTAGCAATCCCACTGCTGGGCATATATCCAAAAGAAAGGAAATCAGTGTATCAAAGACATATCTGCAGTCCCATGTTTGTTGCAGCACTGTTCACAATAGCCAAGATTTGGAGGCAACCTAAGTGTCCATCAACAGATAAATGAATAAAGAAAATGTGGTACATATACAGAATGGGGTACTATTCAGTCATCGAAAAGAATGATATCCTGTCATTTCCAACATCATGAATGGAACTGGAGGTAATTATATTAAGTGAAACAAGCCAGGCACAGAAAGACAAACATCACATGTTCTCACTTTTTCGTGGGATCTGAAAATGAAAACAACTGAACTCATGGAGATAGAGAGTAGAAGGATAGTTAGCAGAGGTTGGGAAGGGTACTGGGGTTGGAGAAGTGAAGATTGTTAGTGGGTACAAAAAACATTGTTAGAAAGAATGAATAAGAACTAGTATTTAATAGCACAACGGGGTGACAATAGTCAATAATAATTTAATTGTACATTTCAAAATAACTAAAAGAGTGTAATTTGATTGTTTGCAACACAAATAATAAATGCTTCAGGGGATGAATATACTCTTTTCCATGGATGTGATTATTACACATTGCATGCCTGTATCAATATATGTCATATATCCCATAACTATACCTACTATGTACCTACAAAAATTAAAAATTCAAAAAATCTGCACTGCTTTATTACTCTGTTTTGATGCTGTTTTGCATTGTTTACTACTCTAAAGGGCTAAATGGGCAGAGCCACATAATTTTTATTTATTCTAAGTGCCCAACAGGGGACCTGAAACATGGTAGTTACTGAATGCATATTTATTGAATAAATGTAAGAAATAACATGAAGTGAAAAATCAAGAAGAATGTTAGATAGATAGATACATCTTGAAGGAGATACTCGAAAACATAATGGCTATTTTTTCTGCATGGTTAACAGTGACAATAATTTTAATTTACTTTTATTTTTGCTGATTTGCATTTTCATATTTTCTACAATGGGAATTTATTACTTATTCTTTTCTTCTCTAAATATATATGTGTAAAAATGTCAATAGTGAAAGAAAAGAGCCTATAGTGCACTATCGCCTATCCAGGAGAGCTGATTTCTTACTGTAACATAAGAATTAAATGACTCTGAAAAAGCAATTGTTTGTGAGCTTCACTAACTAAAAGTGTTTGTGGTTGAAGAAATTTATAGGACAGCTATGACAAACGTAAGTTTATGAAATTAAAAGCCATTGATGCATAACATTTTCTTTGGGTATCCTATCAAGAATTCATTTACAAAAATAATAAAGTGAAAACTCAGCAAGGAAGGGTGATATATTTCAATGTTAGCCAGGCTTTAGTTGAGATCTTTCCATTTTTGTTTAGTGACAAGAGGAACAAAATGTGTTCTACTGAAAGAGAAACACTTGCGTACCAGTAGTTCTAATAGTAGAGTAATTGTAGGAAAAGAAGAGGAAGATGAAGAATAACATAGAATGGGCATATGTCCAGGAAAATGCTTAAAATAAAATTATTTCCTGAGGAATGAGGTTCCAAAGTCTTCTGTTCCCACAAAGCAGTCCGGCCTAAATTTTATTTGTTATGCTTACATGAGACCCTTCTTAAAGTAAATACATGTTACCTTGGAATAATAGGAGAAAAATGACATGGTGCAAAAGTGCCTGTTAAATAGTTAGAAACTCAGTGAGGCTATTCAGAGAAGGAAGGCCCTCACTGAAATGATTTTTATTTTATTTTATTTTATTATTATTATACTTTAAGTTTTAGGGCACATGTGCACAATACCCTGAAATGATTTTTTTTAAGGTACGCATGATTGCAAAAGACATTGTCGGAGTTGGAGCTACTGAAGAAGGTTTGTAGGGGTTTTTACTTCCTTTTGGTACTATTGTAAATGGAATTGCTTTCTTAGTTTTCTTGCCTGATACTTTACTGTTACTGAATAGAAAAGCAATGAATTTTTGTATGTTAATTTTGTATCCTGCAAGTTTACTAATTTATTAGTTCTAACAGTTTTTAGTGAAATTCTTAGAAATTTCTATGTGTAAGAGTATGTCTGCAAATGAAAATACTTTAATTCTTCATTTTTTATTTGTATGCTTTTCATTTCTTTTCTTTTTGTATTGCTCTGGCTAGGAATTTTAGTACTATGTTGAATCAAAGCTGTAAGAGTTGTGTTCTTGATTTTAGAGGAATGGTTTTCAGTTTTTCACCAGTGAGTATGATATTAGATGTGTTCTTTTCATACATGGCCTTAGTGAGTTGACATTTATTTTTTCTATTCCTAGTTTGTTGAGTTTTTACCATGAAAGATGCTGAATTTTGTCAAATGTTTTTTCCTGAATTTTAAAGACAATAAATAGATTTTAGTTTATTTTTGTCTTTTTTTCCAAGATGGTGGGTTAGAGATTTTAATGTGCTTCGGCCACTTGGAAATAACAAGATAGTGCATAGAGATACATTCTGTGAGCTTTAATTCAAGAAGTATAATGGGAATCTACTGGAATTGTGAAGGACACACCAGATCCTGAGGATGAGAATGCGGGGAAACAGCCCCCATAACAGCATCTGGCTGATAAAAGTGAGTGAAGCCCCAGTACATAAGAAAGGCAGAGGGATTTCCTCTGTAACTCCCCTTTCCACCAGGGATCTGGGGAACCCAGGCTAAGGGACAGCACTTTTTTTCTGCAAAGTTCTGGAACTAACTTGGGGACAAGCTTGGGGACACTTAGAGGAAAAGGCACCAGTAAAACTGCAGGCATTTTCCCAGACCTGAGACCAAGAACAGAATGCCATTTTTAATCTGAGCACATACAAAGTAACTTATTCGTCAGTTAACTGGAAGTGTGGCTATGCAGGTATTTTAGTCTCAGACCAGATGTTTGAATACCTTTTCTTGAATGGGGTAGGGACCTCCACAGCCAGAATTCTGAAAAGTACCTCAGCAGTAGGCACTGGAATTATGCTGTCCACCTGCTGCAGGACTGGGGCAGGAAGAGAGCTGCTACAGCTATGGTTTCTCCTGGGTAACAAGACTGGTAACCAGAGCCAGTTGACAAGCTGGAACTGGCCTTTGTGTGTCACTGCTGGGTGCCTCAGCCTGCAACTCTGAGATTGTGGTGCAGGGAACCCTTTCTGCCTCAATCCAGGTCAGAACTCCAGGCATTCAGAGCATTCGCTTTCATGGACCAGCAGCCTGAGCCACCCCACCCTTCTTGTGCATAGATCATGGTGCAGTGGGGCCCTCTTCATGTCATGCCCAGGATAGATCCAGGCATTCAGAGCACCTGCTTGCTTGGTTTGGCAGCCTGAGTTGTCCCATCCTTCCTAGGTATATAGATGATGGTGCAGTGGGACCCGCTGCACTGCAAAACTAGGCTGACGTCCCGGCATTTGGAACACCTGCTTGCCTGGTTCAGCAGCCTGAATTACCCCAACCCCCTGTTCAGAGATCCTGGTGCAAGAGGGCCCTCTCCACTCCATGCCCAGGCATATCTCTAGGAATATGGTGCACCCATTTACATAGATCAGCAGCTTGAACCACCCATCCCAACCTGTGCAGAGACCATGGTGAATCTGGCTGGACATGGGGCGGAGAAGGCTCTGCTTCACCGTGGTTCATCCTGTGCAGAGATTGTGGTGTGGCGGGGTCCTGTATACTCTATGCCCAGGCAGATCTTCAGGCATCTAGAGTATCCACTCTACTGGATTAGGCCACGGACCTACTCCCCATGCAGAGAACTTGGACCCAAGGATGACCCAACTCAATGCTTTGTCACACTTCTGAGTGCTTGGTGGCTGCCTACTGGATTCACCCTTGGCACTGGTTTTTGTGTCTGCCAAAAGGTTACCTGTGGGTAGCTCAGCCTGGTCTGTTCCCACCCATTTGGCCTTGATTCCCTGAGGCTTAGTAGGAATATCTGACCACTATGCACTCCACAGATCAGCCCATTGCCTGAGATAACAGAGAGCTTCTCCCAGTAAACAAGGATCAATTATATACCCAGCCATGTTGGTTGCAGCTGGCTTACCCATAAGTGCCATATACTGGCAAACAGGTTGAACTACACAGCCCAATATAAAACCTGCCAATAGAAGTGCATAGGGCTATGAAAGCAGAGCCAAAAACCCCTAACCAACATTCTCTACAGTCATACCCACCTGGGTGGGGGTGAGGTGTAGAGCAAGGGAAGGAAAATAACACCAATAATATTATAGGGAAAGAAAGAAAAAAATTCTACCCACATAAAAATAATTGCAAAAATTGGCTGGGCGTGGTGGCTTATGCCTGTAATCCTAGCATTTTGGGAGGCTGAGGTGGGTGGATCACTTGAGGTCAGGAGTTTGAAACCTGCCTGGCCAAAATGGTGAAACCCTGTCTCTACTAAAAACAAAAAAATTAGCCTGGTGTGGCTGTGGGCACCTGCAATCCCAGCTACTCTGGAGGCTGAGGCAGGAGAATCGCTGGAACCCAGGAGGCAGAGATTGCAGTGAGCCGAGATCACACCACTGCACTTCAGCATGGGCGACAGAGCTAGACTCCATCTCAAAAAAAAAAAAAATTACAAAAATTAGAAGTGCCAGTGTCCCACGATAAAGAACCAGAGCAATAATTGTGGCACCATGAAAAATTTAAATGTAATGATGCCACCAAAGGATCATAATAGCTCTCTAGCAATGGAACCTTACCAAAATGGAAACTCAGAAATGACAGATAAAGATTTCAAAGAATGAATTGCAAGAAAGCTCAACAAGATCCAAGACAAGATTAAAAATGGACTATTGTGAATGGTGTTGCAACGAATATTTGTGTGCATGTGTCTTTATGATAAAATGCTTTATATTCCTCTGGGTACATATACCCAGAAATGGGATTACTGGGTCTAATGGTAGTTCTGCTTTTAGCTCTTTGAGGAATCGCCATACTGCTTTCCACATGGTTGAACTGATCTACAGTCCCACCAACAGTGTATAAATGTTCCCTTTTCTCTGCAACTTTGCCAGCATCTGTTATTTTTTGACTTTTAATAATAGCCATTCATTTTTAAATTTTATTTTTGCTTTTTTTAGTAATAGCCATATCATTGATGTGTTATGATCTCACAACAAATTAAACCAGATTAAAACCAAATTAAAACCAGATTGTTTTGATTTGCATTTCTCTCACAATCAGTGATATTGAGCTTTTTTTCATATATTTGTTGTCTGCATGTATATCTTTTTTTGAAAATGTCTGTTCATGTCTTTGCTCACTTTTTAATGGGCTTGTTGTTCTCTTGTAAATTTGCTTAAGTACCTTATAGGTGCTAGATATTGGACCTTTGTCAGATGCATAGTTTGCAAAAACTTTCTCCCATTCTGTAGGTGGTCTGTTTACTCTGTTGATAAGTTTCTTTGCTGTGCAGAAGCTCTTAAGTTTGATTAGATGCCACTTGTCATTTTTGCTTTTATTGCAGTTGATTTTGTTTTCTTCATCATGAAATCTTTGCCCTTTCCTATGTCCAGGATAGTATTGCCTGGGTTGTCTTCCAGGGTTTTTATACTTTTTGGTTTTACATTTAAGTCTTTAATCCATTTTTAGTTTATTTTTGTGTATGGTGTAAGGAAGGGGTACAGGTTCAATCTTCTGCATATCGCTAGCCAGTTATCTGATTACCACTTATTGAATAGGAAGTCTTTTCCCCATTGCTTGTTTTTGTCAGCTTTGTTGAAGATCAGATGGTTGTTGATGTGTGACTTTATGTCTGGGCTCTCTATTCTGTTCCATAGGTCTATGTGCGTGTTTCTGTACCAGTATCATGCTGTTCTGGTTACTGTAGCTCTGTAGTATAGTTTGAAGTTGGGTAACATGATACTTCTAGCTTTGCTTTTTTGTTTAGGATTTCCTTGGATATTCAGGCTCTTTTTTGGTTCTATATGAATTTTTAAATAGTTTTTTTCTGGTTCTGTGAAAAATGCCAATGATAATTTGATAGGAATAGCATTAAATCTATGAATTGCTTTGGCTATTTTAGTATGGCCATTAAATTATGGCCATTTTAATGATATTGATTCTTCCTATCCATGAGCATGGGATGTTTTTCCATTTGTTTGTGTCATCTCTGATTTCTTTGAGCAGTGTTTTGTAATTCTCATTGTAGAGGTCTTTCACCTTCCTGGTTAGCGGTATTCCTAGGTATTTTATTCTTTTTGTGGAAATTGTGAATAAGATTGCATTCCTGATCTGGCTCTTGGCTTGGCTATTCTTGGTGTACAGAAATGCTAGTGATTTTTGAACACTGATTTTGTATCCTGAAATTTTGCTCGTTTATAGCTGGAAGAGCGTTTTGGGCTGATAATATGGGGTTTTCTAGATGTAGACTCATGTCATCTGCAAGGGGGATATTTTGACTTCCTCTCCTCCTATTTGAAGGCTGTTTATTTCTTTCTCTTGCCGGATTGGCTAGAATTCCAGTCCTATGTTGAATAAGAGTGGTGAGAGAGGGCATTTTGTCTTGTACCGGTTTTCAAAGGGAATATTATGCAGTCATAAAAACAATGAGATCATGTCTTCTGTTGGGCAGAGATGGAGCTGGAGGCCATTATTCTTAGCAAATGAATGCAGGAACAGAAAACCAAATACATCATGTTCTCACTTATAAGTGGGAGCTAAATGATGAGAACTCATGAACACAATGAAGGGAACAACAGACACTGGGGCCTGCTTCAGGATGGAGAGTGGCAGGAGAAAGAGAAACAGAAGAAACAAGGTACTAGGTTTAGTATCTGTGATGAGATAATCTGTACAGCAAAAGCCCATGACATAATTTTACCTATATAACAAGCCTGCACATGTACCCCCAAACCTAAAATAAAAGTTAAAAAAAGAAAATCTAAATCTACCTGATTACAGAAAATGTGCAATTAAGTATGCAATTATGCTTCTTCTGGGAGACAGTACCTTGTAAGGCTTGGTATCTCTTTTGAAGTACGCTGAATATTCTCTAAATTCATAAATTGTTTCAAAGACATTAATAAACAGCCTGAAAATTAAAAAATGGAGTTTTAATCATTTTTATGTTAATGTGCTAGATCACATTATCAATTATTATATTATGTAATATTAATATATTGATTATATATTGAGCAATTGATTATTATTATCCTTCCATGCCATGGATAAATCCAGTTGGTTGTGATGTATTATCCTTTTAATGTGCTGTTGCATTCATTTTGTTGTTAAGGATTTTTGCATCTTTATTCATTAAACTTATTGGCCTATAGCTTTTTTTTGTGGTATCTTTGACTTTGTTACAGGATATTATGCTGGTTTTGTAAAATGTGTTTGGAAGTGTTTCTGCTTCTTCATTTTTTTTTAAAGAATTTACGGTGAATTAGCATTAATTCTTCCAAAAGTATTTGTTGAATTCACCAGTGGAACCACCTGATTTCTGGCTTTTCTTTGTTGCAAGACTTTGATTACTGATTCAATCTCTATGATAGTTATTGCTCCATTAAAATACTGTCTTTTTCTTCATGAGTCAGTCTTGGCAGGTTGTATGTTTCTAGGAATTCACTCATTTCTTTCAGGTTATCTAATTTGTTTGAGTATAATTGTTTATAGTAGTCTTTTATGATCTTTTGTATTTCTATGCATCAGTTGTAATGTCTCTTCTTTCATTTCTGATTTTCTTTATTTAAATCTTCTGTCTTTTCTTTATTTGTCTGGCTAAGATTTGTAAATTTTTAGGATCTTTTCAAAATATCAACTCTTAGTTTTGTTGATTTTTCTATGGCTTTTCTATTTGTTACTTCATTTATTTCTGATCTAATCTTTGTTATTTCCTTCTTTCTGCTAACTTTGAGCTTACTTTGTACCTATTTTTCTAGTCCTTTGAGATACAAAGATAAGTCATTTATTTCAAATTTTTCTTATTTTTCAATGTAGGTATTTACTGCTATATATTTCCTTCTCAGTACTGCTTTCGCTTCATCCCGTGAATTTTGGTATGTTTGAGGTTGTGTGTGTGTGTGTGTGTGTGTGTGTGTGTGTGTGTGTGTGTGTTTAATTTGTCTTTAGGTATTTTTAATTTTTTAAATTTTTTTTGTTTTTTTCTTTGACCCAATGGTTATTGATGAGTGTATTGTTTAATTTGCACATATTTGTGATTCTCCAGTTTTCCTTCCACTATAAATTTCTAGCTTTTTTTTTTTTTTTTTGAGACAGAGTTTCTTCCTGTCACCCAGGCTGGAGTGCAATGGTGCAATCTAGGCTCACTGCAACATGTGCTTCCCAGGTTCAAGGAATTTCTGGCTAATTTTTGTATTTTTAGTAGTGGTGGGGTTCCACCATGTTGGCCAGGCTGGTCTCGAACTCCTGACCTTAAGTGATCTGCCTGCCTTGGCCTCCCAAACTGCTGGGATTACAGACATGAGCCACCTCACCCAGCCTAATTTCTAGTTTCATTCTCAAAAGATACTTGGTGTGATTTCAATCTTTATAAATGTGTTAATACTTGTTCTGTGACCTAATATATAATCTTTCATTGAGCAATCTGTGTTTGCTTTAAAGAAATTTGAATTCTGCTTTTGTGGGGGAAAATATTCTATGTATGTATGTCTGTTGGGTTCATTTGTTCTATGGTGTTAAAGCCCTCTTTTCCTTATTAATTCCTTAGTCCTCTTCTGTCTGGATGTTTTCTCCACTATTGCAAGTGGAATACTGAACTCGTTTACTATCATTGTATAGCTGTCTATTTCTCCTTTCAGTTCTGTCAGTGTTTTCTTTGTTTATTTATGTGCTCTGTAATTGAGTACATATAAATTTAAATTGTTATATTTTCCTAGTAGGTTCACCCTTTTATCATTATAAAATGTCGTTCTTTGTGTTTTGTGAACAGTTTTTAACTTTAAGCCTAGTTTTTTTTTTTTCTGATGGGAGTTTACAAGTATTTTCTCCTACTCAACTTTTTCGAATAGGTTGAGAAAGATTGATATTATTTATTTAAATGTTTGGTAGAATTCATCAGTAAAGACGTCAGGTTCTGGGCTTTTTTTGATGGGAAATTTTTATTATGGCTTCTGTCTCATTGCTTGTTATTAGTTTATTGAAGCTTTGGATTTCTCCATAGTTAAATCTTGGTAGGTTTTGTGTGCCTAGAATTTATCCATTTCTCTAGGTTTTCCAATTTACTGGCATATGGTTGTTCATATTGTCTGCTATTCCTTGGGTTTCTATGCTGTCAGTTGTAATATGTCCTTTTTAATCTCTGATTTTATTTGGGTTTTCTCTTTTTTTCTTAGTCTAGCTAGAGGTTTCTCCATTTTATCTTTGTTTATCTTTCTAAAGAGCCAACTTGATTGGAGAGTTCAATATACTTACATTTAAGGTAATTATTAATAGAAGAAATTTACTATTGCCTTATTGTTAGTTTTTTTGTTGTTGTTGTTAGTCTTGTAGTTCTTATGTTTTTGTTTTTCTCCCTTGCTGCCTTCCTCTGTTTTGTTGATTCTTCTATTAATATGCTTTGATCTTTGTTCTCTTTTTCTTTTACATAATTTCATAGGTATTATTTTTTAGTTACTTTTGGGATTACATAAAATATTTTATAGCTATAATAGTCTACTGTAAACTAATAACAACTAAGTTCAATTGCAACAAAAACTCTGCATTTCCTTTCCCTCAATGCACACTTTGTTGCTGTTATCACAATTTACATCTATTCATGTAGTGTATATTTAACCATCTTTGTTTTTTAACTTTTGTACTAGAATTAAATGATTTACTATTACCATATTTTGTATTTGTCTGCATGTTTATTTTTACTGATGAGTTTCCTACGTTCTTATGAAAGCCTCCATGTTGTTGCTTAGCATCCTTTCAACTTAAAAAGTTTCTTTTAAGAATAGTCCTGTAATGATGAACTCTCTTAGTTTTTGTTTGTATGAGAAGGTCTTTATGCTGGGTATAGTTTTTTTAGTTGGCAAGATTTTTTTTTCTTTTCACCACTTTAAATATATAATTTCATTCACTTCTGGCCTGCAAACTTTCTGCTGACTAATTTGATGATAATCTTATTTAAGTTTCATTGTATAAGTTGCTTTTCTCCTTTCAAAATTCTTCTTTGACTTTTGACCAATTGATTGTAATGTATCTTGGTGTGAATTTTTTTTGTATATCTTATTTGGTGGTTTCTTCTTTAATCTTCTTGGATCTGTATGTTCATTACCTTCCACAAATTTTAAGTTTTTAGTCATTATTTCTTTGAATATTCTTTCTGGTCTTCATTCCCTCTCTCCTATTTCTGGAACTTCCATAATATGTTTACTGGTTCACTAAATGGTCTCCCATGATTCCCTTAAGCCTTCTTATCTCTTTTTTATTCCTTACTCTTTTTGATTCTCTGACTAAATTATTTCCAGTGACCGATCTTTAAGTTCACTAATTTTTTCATAACCTCAATCTAGTCTGCCATTGAACTCATCTACTAAGGTTTTTAGTTCAGTTATTGC
The DNA here is from genome assembly GCF_000001405.40 of Homo sapiens. NCBI lineage: Eukaryota > Metazoa > Chordata > Mammalia > Primates > Hominidae > Homo > Homo sapiens. The sequence continues at coordinate 99,271,095 of NC_000005.10, forward strand.
CATTCTCCAGCTCCATGATTTCCATTTGGTACTTTTATACATTTTCTGTCTCTTTATCCAAATTATTACTTTGTTCATGTATTATTCTCTTGACTTTGGTGAACATCTTTATGACAATTATCTTGAATTCTCTGTCAGGTGAACAATGTAATCCTGTTTTATGATTGTTTTCTGGAGATTTACCTCATTCTTATGTTTGGCCCATCTTTGCCTGATTCTTTATTTTCTTTGACTTTATTTGTGGGTGCACATTAGACAAATCAGGAACCTCTCCCAGTGTTAATGACTTATATCATATAGGAGAAGAGTCTCACAAGTCAGCTCTACTAGAAATCCTGAACAACTTCTACCTGCATCAACTATTTTATTCCCAAGAAAGAGGCAGATAGCTGTAGTTTTTTTGTCTGTTTTCTCTGTGTTAAGCCAAGCTGAGGGAGAAACTATGACATATATCAGCCCAAGCCATCATCTCTGTTATTCCCTGGGTGGCTAGACTGTGATAGGTTTGCCAGTGCTTCAAGACTGAAGAGACAGATGCTAGTTCTTTCGGAAGCATCAAAGAAGTTGGGGTGTTGGGAACATAGATGAACTCTTTTCCTCTCTAGGGAGGAAGCTGAGGGCTGGCACTCTTTTTTGTTTTCTCAATCTGTGCTGGGCAGGGGAATAATTAATAGTGTCTATGACCCCACACTGCTGCCTCTATTTTCCCTTGGGTGCCTTGACTATGCTGAAACTGTCAGAGCTCCAAGTGTGGCAATACAAAAGCCTTTTTCTGGGGAGCTCCTCCACTTGGAAAAGTTGGAATGATGATGCATGAAACAGTCCCTTTCCTCCCCTGAGTGAAGCTGGGAGCTAGGCGTCTCTTTCTAATCACATGTCTGCATCAGGGACAGTGTCTCTGGCAATAAGGTGTCCCATATCTTCCTACTGTCTTCAGTTAGTCTAGTTTTACATTCTCCCAGAGAGCAGAAGACTTTCAGTTAGTTTCTGCTTTTTCACAAAGGCAATTTGTCCAGGAAGTTTGGCTGAATTGGTATGTTTGTTGAGGGAAAGAAGAGGGCTTTCTATGCAGCTATATTGCTGGCTGGCATCACTTCTAGCCTTTTAAAAAGAGGCTTCGCTAGCTAAATGCATTTAGTTCAATTTTGTTTAGTTTTTAAGTAGTGGATATTTTCTTCTTCAAGACCTAGTATAAAAGTAGGCCATGGCTTTATACTTTGTCCTGTGAAGTATTTGAAATTAGATGAAGTAATTCAAATGATAGTTGACTCTAATAGTAAGTTTACATGACAAATGATAGCAAGCCAGCACATGTAACTCTACAAGAAATATGCTATATACACTAACCCACAAATAATCACATCAATTGAAAGATCTACAAGAAATCTGATGATCTACAGCTATAGAGCCATGAGCTAAGAAAACATTTGTTATCCCCTTGAATCTGTTAATTTAATAAGACCATCCAGAGGCACAGCACTTGAGCGTCTAGAATCATAGCACTTGACCAACTAGCAAGTTCTGTATTTTATTCCTGTTCCTTTTTCTTTTCTGTACAAATTCACCCCATATGTGTCTGCACTCTCTGCACTCCCGTGGGTAATATTAAATCATTACAGGTCAATGGCAGCACTTGTACTTCAAACAAGCCCACAGATGGCAGAGTCTTAGTCTAATCCCCTAGCACTGCCAATGCTGCAAGTAATAACCAGATATGGTTTCTGCTTCCATTCTTTATGATTTAATATTTGATGAGTCTCTGGACACTCTGCTAACAACTTCCCATTGTCTCTTTAAGGAAACCAACATTGTAGATTATACTTCTCTTGCATGTACTATGTGCACAGCTGGCAGCCACAAGAAGGCAAAATTTAGGGAATATTCCTTCTTTATTTAACTTTTTCTGCAGGTGTCATTTCTGTGTTTTAGCCATCTGGTGTTCTGCGGAATAGAATACCAATAGCAAAATTTATTCAGATATACAAGCTAAATAAAAATATCTTCCAAATAAAAGTATTAAAATGGTCAACATAACAAATGCAGTAATTTGTTTATTATTTTTGCATTTTGACAGAGATCTGGGGTGAAAGTGATGTTACTTTCCAGCAAACCTTGGCTGGAAAGGGTACTTAGGAATTAATGCTATATTAAGCTATTTTCCCTATTGTGTAACTGCTATGAAAAAAATGTCTATTTCAAAAAAGTATCAGACCTGAGAATCAAAGATATTGCTATTCCTTCTATACTCCTCTGGAAATATATTGGTAGGTGAGAACAAGAGATTAAAAGGCCATTTCCAATCTTTTGCTGTAATAAGATATTAGGGTGTTAGTTGAAGTAAGGTGACAGTGTTTTTCATTTTTTTTTAATTTAAAAATTTCAGTGTGCAATAGGTATATATGGGAGGATGGTAAAGGAAGTAACAAAGATTTTATTCAATCTTTGTTTTGCATATAAAGTTGTAATTCATCTAACGTACTTAATAAATGGGAGCACCTCAGCTAGAACACAGAATTTTACCAATTGTTCTTCCTTCTACTTCTCTGTGCTAGAGATTAGGTCTAGGGAAAATTTATGGAGGAAAAGGATTACTTTGTTATCACCAAGGCTCAATATGATAGAGATAGGATATGCAGTTGAAGATACTTTAAAGTCTTTTTGCCTCCATTTCATAATCTGTAAAATAGTCTATCTCCTAATATAGAATTGAACAAGGTAATATAGGTAAAATACCTATGTCAATTTTTGTTCTATAAGTTTCCATCATTTTCATTATTCAGCTGATGTCAGAATTCTTTATGAAACTTTGAGAGAAATAAAATCTTGCAGATATAAAATGGCAGTTGTGCTCTGTAACTGGTATGGTGTGGATATGTGTCCCCTATAAATCTCCTGCTGAAATGTGGTCTCTAGTGTTGGAGGTGGGGCCCTGGTGGGAGGTGTTTTGATCATGGGGGTGGATGTCTCATGAATGGCTTGGCACCATTCCCTTGGTGATAAGTGAGCTCTCACTCTGAGTTCACATGAGATTTGGTTGTTTCACAGGCTGTGAGACCTGCTCCTTCTTTCTCTTTCTCTCACTCTCTCTATGTGACATGGCTGCTCCCTTCTGCCATGAGTAAAATCTTCCCTGAGGTCTCCCCGGAAGCCCTGCAGCTGCTGGCATCATGCTTGTACAGCCTGCAGAACCACGAGCCAATTAAACCTCTTTTCTTTATAAATTACCCAGCCTCAGGTATTTCTTTATAACAATGCAAAAATGGACTAATACAGAACATTTGTTCTGATGAGTGGGGCATTGCTATAAAGATACCTGAAAACATGGAAGCAGCTTTGGAACTGGGTAATTGGAGGTTTGAAAGAGTTTGGAGGGCTCAGATGAAGACAGGAAGATGAGAAAAAGCTTGAAACTTCTTAGAGACTGATTCAATGGTTATAACAGAAATATGGACAGTGAAGGCTAGGCTAATGAGGTCCCAGATGAAAATAAGGAACTTATTGGGACCTACAGCAAAGGTCACCCTTGTTACATCCTAGCAAAGAACTTGGTTGCATTGTGTTCATGCCCTAGGGATCTCTGGAAGTTTGAACTTAAGGATGATGACTTAGGATATCTGGCTGAAGAAATTTCTTTTTTTTTTTTTTTTTTTTTTTTGAGACGGAGTCTCGCTCTGTCGCCCAGGCTGGACTGCGTGCGGACTGCAGTGGCACAATCTCGGCTCACTGCAAGCTCCGCCTCCTGGGTTCACGCCATTCTCCTGCCTCAGCCTCCCGAGTAGCTGGGACTACAGGCGCCCGCCACTGCGCCCGGCTAATTTTTTGTATTTTTAGTAGAGACAGGGTTTCACCTTGTTAGCCAGGATGGTCTCGATCTCCTGACCTCATGATCCACCCGCCTCGGCCTCCCAAAGTGCTGGGATTACAGGCGTGAGCCACCGTGCCCGGCCGAAGAAATTTCTAAACAGCAAAATCTTCAAGAGGTAGTCTGGCTGCTTCTAACAGCCTATAGCTAATAGTACTTCTTTCTGTGCTAATAGGTACTTTGTAATAAGAGCAAAAAAAAAAATGACTTAAAGTTTGAACTTATATTTAAAATGTAAGTACAGTGTAAAAATTTGGAAAATTTATAGCTTAGCCATGTGGTATAAAAGAAAAGATCACTTTCAGGGGAAGAATCCACGCAGGTTGTGAAGCAACCACTTTCTGTAGAGATTAGCATGACTAAAAGACAGCCAAGTGTTAATAGGCAAGACAATGGGCAAAAGGCTTTGAAGCCATTTCAGAGATCTCTGAGGTAGCCCCTCCCATCACCAGCTCAGAGGCCTAGGAGGAAAGAATGGTTCTGTGGGCCAAGCCCAGAGCATCAATGCCCTGTGCCACCCTGGGAGGCTGGTCCTTACATCTCTGCTGCTCCAGCTCCAGCTCTGGCTCAAAAGGCCCCAGGTACAGGTTGGGCCACAGCTCCAGAAGTTTTTGGCCATAAGTCTTGTCAGCTTCAACATGGTGTTAAGCCTGTAATTGTGCAGACGTAAGAGTGAAGGATGCCTGGCAACTTTCACCTAGATTTCAGAAGATATATGGGAAAGCCTTTGTGCCCAGGCAGAAGCCTGCCACACGCAGATAACTTCTACTAGGGCAGTCCCAAAAGGAAATGTGGGGTTAGAGCACCACCCAGACTGCCTAGTGGATCTGTGGGAATGGGGCTGCTGCCTTCCAGACCTTAAAATGGTATATGTACTGGCAGGTTTCACTGTGAGCCTGGAAAAGCAGCAGTCACTCAACTCCAACCCATGAGAGAAGTCATGAGGGTTGTACCCTGCAAAGCCCCAAGGGCAGAACTGCCCAAGTCCTTGAAAGCCCATCTTTCACACCGGGGTGTGCCCAGGATGAGGGACATGGAGCCAAAGGAGGTTATTTTAGAGCTTTAAGATTTATTGACTTCCCTGCTGGGTTTCAGATTTTCATTGGGCCCATAGCCCCTTTCTTTTGGCCAATTTCTCCCTCCAGGAATGGGAAAAATATCATTTATCAAATGATACTTACCCAATACCTATATCCCCATTGTATCTTGGAACTAATAACATGTTTTAATTTTACAGTTCATAGGTGGAAAGAAAGGAGTCTCAGATGAGACTTAGGACTTTGGAGTTGGTGCTGGAATGAGTTAACACTTTGGTAGACTATGGGAAGGGATGATTGTATTGTGTGGTGTGAGATAAACATGAGATTTTGGAGGCCAGGGTTGAAATAATAGGGTTTGGTATATGTACTTTTCAAATCTCATGTTGAAATGTGGTCTTCAGTGTTGGAGGTAGAGCCTGGTGGGAGGTGTTTGGATCTTGGGGGCATATGCTTCATGAATGACTTGGCACCATCCTGTTGGTGATAAGTGAGCTTTAACTCTGAGTTCACATGAGATCTGGTTGTTTAAAAGACCATTGAACTCCCCCACTTCTCTCTTGCTCCTTCTTTCACCAAGTAGCAAACCTCGTTTTTTTTCTTTTATAAATTACCCAGCCCCAGGTATTTCTTTATAGCAACACAAAAATGGACTAATACAGTAGGCTCTTGCTTTTTAAAATTTATCTGAATTTCTTTTATCAAACCTGGATGTTTTAGTCATACCTTTCCCATAAATGCAAAGGTAAATTATAGCTCACCCTCCAGTTTTACAACTCTTTTATTACAAACTTGAGATACAAGGAAGTGCCTTGTATAGTTATTTTATTAAATGATAAAAGTAGATGTAAAGCCAAAGGGTAGGGTCTCCTTATTCAAAAAGGACACATATTGCAATAATCAGCCAAGGAATCTTCTGCCAACACTGTTTCTCCCCTAGCATTTTCCCTACTTAAAAGCAATACTAGAACGCTATTATGATTGATAGCATTACAAGTTCTATTTTCTTATAGAAGATTAGTGGTTCTGTGGGGCTGTAAGACGTATGTCTTATACAAGAGAAACAGCCTTGGGGTCCAAATCCTTTCCATGTCAATGTATTGTATGCAGTAGATAATTAGAAAATAACATCTAAATAATCTCTTCCTCTTGGAGACTACAGTTTACAGTACATTGGTTGAAAGTACCTTGAAGTGCCAAGGACTCCTGCAGCAAAATCCCTACTCTAACATTTACTTATTAGTTATTTGGGCACTCTAGCTTCCACATGAAATAAATACCACAGTGTCACAAGCGGGACTGTAGTTTTTTGTTGTTGTTGTTTTTCTTTTAGACGGAGTCTCCTGTTGCCCAGGCCCAGGCTAGAGTGCAGTAATGTGACTTCAGCTCAGTACAACTTCTGCCTCCCGGGTTCAAGCAATTCTCCTGCTTCAGCCTCCTGAGTAGCTGGAACTACAGGAGCACAACATAAGCCCTGCTAATTTTTGTATTTTTAGTAGAGATGGAGTTTTGCCATGTTGGCCAGGCTGGTCAAGAACTCCTGACCTCAGGTGATCCTCCTGCCTTGACCTCCCAAAGTGCAGAGGGATTACAGGCATGAGCCACCACACCTGGCCAGGACTGTAATTTTTCACAAGATAGAATAGCAGCTGATGATTTTACAGTTCAATCATGGTAGCTCATAGTAATTCATATGTGTTATTTTAGTCATTGGTGAAATGTGCCAGATAATATATAGATAATGTATTAGGGGGAGTTATATGTGCATTTTATTCCATTTTTTTTTCTTTCGCTTTGCAACCAATGGTAGAGTAGTACTTTGTGCCTGTCACCGCTTTCCTTTCTAAAAACTATTACCAGCACAGTAAAAATATGGGGAAATATATTAGCATTTATATACGATTTTCTATTTACTAAGCACTTTAGTACAGTTTATATTAGTTTTCTTTCCTTTGACATGGTGTGTTAGCCTGTATTGAAGTATTTGCATTTTGCAGCTGGGGACACTAAAACACAGGAAAGTTAAATAAGCACCTAAGGTCACATTGAAAATTAATGGCAGAGCTGAGATTAATTGTATTTTAAGGTTGGTTTACTGAACACAATGTCTTTTCCAAATCAGCTAGACCAAGCCTATCATCCCTGAGAGGAAGGTGAGTTTATCAAATTCCTGGCAAGTTTAGAGGCTTATTTTTATACAAGCAGTCAGTGAGCCTAAGATTTCAAAAGTCCTGAACACATTTAGGAAACATCAGGTCAAGCTTAGTCTGGGCAAGGACTTAAAGTATTAGACCTTTCTTCTGAGCTTCAGACTCATATTCCAATTGTCTACTGGATGGAGTGAGTATCTACTAGCTGAGTATCTACTAGCTGAGTATCTGACAGAGTTCTTAAAATCAACCTATCCAAACTGTTTAAGCCTGACCTATCTCCCACATTCCCTATACACATGAACTACTGCTGAAAGATTTCATAGTAATCTAGAAGGCTGGAATCATTCCCAACCCCTCTGTTTTTCTCAATCCTAAAATATGCTTGGTGATCAGCAACTGGCAATGCTACCTCATTAACATTTCTTATCTTTCCTCTCTCCTTTAACGCTGTTGGTACTGATTTAGTTTAAGCTCTATTCATTTCTTCCTGTACCAGTGAAATACTCTTCAAACCTGCACATTGTACACATGTACCCTAAAACTTAAAGTATAATAAAAAATAAAAATAAAAAAATAAAACATAAAAGCAAAAAAAAAAAAAGGAGTACTCTTCAAATTGGTCTCTCTGCCTTTAGGATTCCAGTATCCATTCTTCACATTTCCACAGAATGATCACTCTAAAACACAAATTATGTTGTGTTGCTTCTTTGCTTAAGATACTTCAAAGACCACTGTAGAGAGGCCTAATTATTTATCATGGCATAAAAAAACCTTTCGTTACCCACTCACTGTTTGAAACCACTATAGTCCATATATCAAATCTACCCAATGATTGCATTTTCCCAAAGTACCATGTACTTTAATTCCCTTGTATCATTGAACTTGTTGCTGCTTTGATTTTATTCTCCAACTCACATTTTTTGAGACTCTACACAATCATCTGAAGTCTGACCTCTCCGTCAGAATGGATGTTCATCCCCTCTATGACTAGACTGTTTTCTGCGTATAATTCTATCTTAGCATCTGTAACACTTTTATGCACACATACCCACACAGACCATCCCTCTCCTTGTACTGGATTCTAAGACCTGTAAGGGCAGAAACTATGTCTTATGAATTTTTATATTTCCAGAATCCAGTGCATAAATATATTTCAGGTTTATTCAATAAATTGCCATCTGAATACATAAAAGAATAAATATTCAACAAAGAAAAAATTCACAAATCTGTAGTGAAAATTCTTCTAGAAATTAATCTTGAAGTGAACCTAAAATGTAAATACACTTATAAATAAAAATAAGGTGGAACTGGGAACCTGGATCTACAACCCAAGACAAGTTATATAACCTTCGTGAAGCCTAGTTTACTTATGTAGAAGTTAAAAATAGTAGTGATTACTTTGCAGGATTGTTGTAAGGTAAAGTTAGCCTTTAAATAATGCATGCAAATGAGTAGTACAATATAGACACTCAGAAAGTAATATCTTTTGGATTGTCTTTTGGGAGGGAAGGCATAACTTAAGAAACGTCAGCTTCCTTGGAAACCAACCAGTCTTAAAGAGATCAATGGCACTCAATACTGCTTTCACTGTGATAAACACAATTGCGCTAGAATGTCATGCCCTTGAGGGCAGGACCTTTGGTCTGTTTTGTTCACATCTGTATCTTCAGCAACTACCACCACCAAAAAACATGAAGATATATAGACTAATCACCCATTCAGGAATGAAGAGAGTTTGTGCTATTAAACGTTTATTCAGACTGTTTTACTAATTAGACAACATGTGATCTGCAGTGTTAATTTATTCTGCAAATAATAATGCCATGTACTGGGTAGTCCTTGTTTAACATGAAGTGTGAAATTAGTGAAATCCCAATCAAAGGGGCTCCGATTTTTATTTTTTTAAAAATTTAAAAAGATAATATTGTTTATGAAAGTTCCTGGCATAACCACAAATAGATATTGAATGTTAAACCCTAGAAATAAAATAACACATAAAAAATTAAAATTTAAACATTTAATAAATAATGAATGTGGTATTTCAATATAACAAATATGTCATAACATTTTAACTGCAATGTTACAACTCTTTAGGAGTGTTCTCACCATGATAAAAGAGACTTTTTGACATCATCAAAAATTATTTAATTTCTACCGTAAAAATAATACTGGTTTTTAGCTTAGATTCCAAATTATAAGTGAGATCATGCAGTATGTTTTCTGTCTAGCTTATTTCACCAGATATAATGTACAACATGAGGCCTATTGTTAATAACATTGCATTGTATTCAGAATTTTTGCTAAAAGACTAGATTTTGGGCTCTCTTGACACACACAAGGGTAACTATGTGAAATGATGAATATATTAATTTGCTTAATTATAGTAATCATTTCATTATGTATATCAGAACATGATATTGCATGCCTTAAATATATACAATAAATAAATAAATAAATAGGAACTCCAGGGCCAAAGGTAAGACTATCTTTTTCTTCTGGTTTCACATTCTGACTTGGCTGAAAAATATGTTGGCAAAAAATGAACATTGTCTAGTAGGCAGAATGAGGTCCTCTGTTCTTGTTCAAAGAAATAGCTAAACATATTATTTAAAATAGCTTTTCTATATAAATAATTATTGTAAAGGTATTTAAACCTTTGCAAATTTTTCAGGAGAGAGACCAAAAGATAAAGAAAACCCAAGCTATTAATGGATTATTCCCAACAAGTTGATTACATCCAACCTATCATTTTCCTTGTTTATTTAGCTTCTCTTCTAGATTCTTAGACATCATTAGTAATGTAAATTGCTGAGAAAAACTTATCTGCAATCTAATTTGTGTATTCTATCTAAAGAAAAAACAATAGCAAACCCATTTTTAAAAGTGTGAAATTCTAGATATTTGTCATAAGAATAGTGGTAAAATGTTGAATAATAATAATTTTATAACATTTAGCCTTTCTGGATATAGAAGATTTCATAGTGGAAAATACATTGATAGAAAATTATAGTTTTGATGTTTGACATTTTAATTTTTTGTTATTTTTTCTTTTTTTTCCCAGTCTCATGTGTTCTGTATATTGATATGTTTTTAAAAACACAGAATATACTGTGTAGGGGATAGCCTGTTGTCTACATAAAGGATTAATGCAATTTTAATGGATTACTGCTGTTGCTTTTTGGAGATTCTCTTATGTCAAATAAACTGATATAAGTAAACAGGAAGAAAATATAAAATATTAACTGTTTGCCTAAGTAGTACATGCCATTTCTATTATATACAAGTTATAAAGTCTAGGGCTATGTTGAATATTTTTCATGGAAGCCCTAGGCTTTTGGTTTAAGATATATAAATAAATACCATCCTTTTTTCTAAGTTGAAAATATTCCATAGAAATATAGAATTTCAGAAGACAAATTAATAAAACAAAATATTGCTAAGCTATGTAGGAAAAAGAGGAGGCATTCTTGGCATAAGTGTGCCCCCAAAGGTAATATTCATGGGTCCATTCACTGTACCTACTATGTATGTATCAGATACTCTTTATGTTACTTGGGAAAAAGTAGTGAACAAGAGCAGATCAAAAAGAGAGAGATCATAAAAAGAATACCCTTGAGATATAAGGGTCACTAGTGAACCACAATGTTAAATATCAGAGAGTAGGGATGGTAAAGTATATAAATAATCTGTTAAAATAATAAGATCATAAAACTCAGAAGTCAAATCTTAGCAATTCTTAAAGACATAGTATATGTACTTAAATGAGCTAGAGATAAATATCACTCATTGTCTTAACACAAAAAGGTTTAATTCATTAAATATAAGTTGATTCTTCCCAGAAATTATCTGTGGGATGGCATAAAGAGAGTCTTAGCATTGATCCTTGCGGGTAAAATATGTCCTTTGTAAAAGGTCTTGTGGGAAACTAAGAAGTTGCCATGTTCGGCCCTGCACAACTGTTTTTGTGTGAGGAAGGCTGCTTACCACCCAATGCTGGGCTGTTTCTTGGTCCTCATTGGGAGACTCTGCTCACATTGTTCATAGTAGACATCCTATGACTTGGCAGTTTTATTAATTTTTAAAATATTTTAATATTATATTTGTATTATTTTTATATTTACTTTTAAATATGACCTATGACTCCTAAGTAGTTTTACAAGCTGGAATCTGTGTCTTTTTACAAATTATTAAAATCCCATTTTCTCCCTCCTTTTTAAAAAATTTTTATCTAACTCTTGCAATGTGCAAGAAAACTATTATAAGTGTTTTCACAAACATTTTATTTAGTCTTTATAGTAATACTATGAGCTAGGTGTCATATTTAATTTACAGATGCAAAAACGAGTGTTTAAGTAATTCTTTTTTCTTCAGATGGAGCTTTGCTCTTGTTGCCCAGGCTGGAGTGCAGTGGCGCTATCGAGTGTTTAAGCAATTTGTGCAAGTTCACCAAGTTAGTAAGAGCAGAATTGAGGTCCTCAGACTCTAATATCCAGGCTTGTTCCTGGATACCTTGGCACCACATTCTTTGCAACATTTATTAACAATCTAACAGCTTCAATATTTTTGAAGTGAGTAATTTATATCATATATAATTTGCTTTTCTTTTTTGTGTGTCTTACTTTTTCCTGCTCAACTGGAAGCTCCTTAAAGGTAGAGGTGATGTTAGATATGAATATGTTTAAGGCTCAATTCATGTCCATATTATATGTTGCTTGATTGATCTAATACAATATTAGAAACCAATTGATTCACAGATCATCACAATTTCTGATAAAAAGATTTCTTTTTATTACAGGTCTGGGAAGAAAACTCTTTCTGAGTGTTCAGCTTTCCTTTTTTTGGCAATAGACAGTAGGAAACATCCATTTCTTGTTGCTATTAGCTTGTTGACTCATTTAATCTGAAAGAAACAAACCAAATAAGTAGCCAATATTTCGTATATGCATAGATAAGAGGCATGCTGGGAAGACTCTTAAGGTTTATCAAGCAAGCTAAAGCAAAAATAAAACATTGCTAAATATTAATATCTCTAAATTCAACTATCAGTCCATAGATCACCCTCAATCAATATTTTTTTTTATGTGTAGAGCTGCCTGTTGCATGGAGAGGTCAAATTGTTGTACACATATTCATTTTTTCAGAGCTTTTTTGGCCATTTTTATGTTTTGCTTTTTGGTAACTGTTTTAAGAGGACAAATTTTAAAAAAATATGTAAAGTGTTATAACGTGCATGCATTTCATAATAACTATCAGTCCTTCTCACAAAGCTTTACATGAGTGATATAAACTCCCTAGCCTTAACCTTAAAGATTATACCAAAAAAATATTTACTTGGAGATGATGGTCCTGTCTGTATATATTTAAATGCCAGAAGTCAATTGCTTTGCTACTCTTTCATAAATACAGGTCATGACTCTGTTTTCTGCCAGTCTGTATCTCTCTAGATTTAATTTCCCTGTCCTTGGATGTGTCTAGTGAAGAATAAAAGGAACAAATATTTCTTGATAAGAGAGAAACACTAAATGAATAAATGAGACAATAAGTAAAATTTATGGCTTTCAGGTGGACTAGGAAAAAAATAAGTATGAGATATATAATACTTGGAAAATCTGCATTTTGCCTTCTCTTTAAAGATCAGAATATCTTACCATATTCAGCATGAATTCCTTCAGAGTACAGTTGACTTGAAGTGAGCATGAGATGTCCCTTGAATATGGTATCTGTGCTCTACATTTTGCTACAAGTCCTTCTAGTCATCTCCCTCATCCTGAATTGGAACAAAAATAATATATTATATATATTTAATTATATTAATTATCTTATGATTTAGTCAGATTAATCTAAAATTGCCACTTTGATCTCGTTACTCTCTTGCATTGTCTTTGAAGCCCTTCACACTATGGCTGTAATCTGCCTTCCCAGCCTCATCACAACTACTTTCCTTAGCTGTAGAATCTGTTCCTTTGGCTTTTCCATCTCAGTACTCTGCATCAGGGCCTTATTGAAGGCTTCTTCCTCTCTAGTCCTACTTAAGTGTGATCTATTTTTTAGACCTTAATAAAATCTTGCTTCTGCAAAGCCCTCCTGAAGTAGTCCAGTTATTAGTGATCTTTTCACGTTTTTTATGTCTTAAGTTGTTAACATCCTCTAGGACTTCTTTGCTGTGGATCATTTAATTCATGATTTTTTTTATTTCTTTAAGCCCTGTCTTTACACAAGATACCAGAAACATATTCAAGTCAGAAATCATGCCTTTTATTTTTTATTGTTCTCCTCAGTGCTACCGTAGTGAATTGAAGATATTTAATGACTTGTAGATATTCATTTCTTTTGAAAAAATGGATTAAGGTATATGTATTATGGAACATTTTTAAGAAATTTCCTTATTGGGATTTAAACCTCCTGTAGTTACAGGAGGTTTAAAGACCTTCTGTGGTCTGTAGTCGTTTTTGATTTTCAGGAACCTGAGGAGTTAATATTTCTTTGATAAAATTTTATGTTAGATAGCCAAAGGTCACTCTGCCCTTTGTACGATAACTGCCTATTGGCACTGAAGAAGCATCAATTATATATGCAAATACCATGCTCCTGTTTGTAGATCCTGCTGGCTTTATAGGAACGTACCACTCATCTATCATGGGAGGCATTCATACTTTGTTTACTTTTCATTTGTTTGCTTGTAGTTTTAGAGACAGGGTCTCACTCTGTCATCCAGGCTGGAGTGTAGTGGCATGATCATAGCTCACTGCAGCCTCGAACTCCTGGACTCAAGCAGTCCTCCAGCCTCAGCCTCCTGTGTGGCTAGGACTATAGGCATGTGCCACCACATCCAGCTAATATACTTTTGTCCATGATCTAATAAACTTAACTTAGGTGAGGAACCTAGTTAAGGTCTAAGATCTAGGGTGACCATTTAATTTATTGTCTAACCTGGGACTCCTTTAGAATGAAAGGCAGTACTAATTAGATAGAATACTGGGCAATAGGTATAAGGTGAGCCTTCTCTGGTAAAGCTGGAGGCATGGCCACCATAGGTAAAGCCTGGCAAAATGAAGAGAATTTTCCTACAAGAATTTTAGCTACCAGCCCATTCCTGTGCCCCAGGGAAAATTAGGAAAGTCAAAGGATGGTTTTTCTCTGTATAGCTGTGGTTGGCTGCTTCTAAAATGGCTGGCAATGGTACCTGCCATGGTACTACCCATGCCCTCGTGCAGTCTCCTTCCCCTAGTGTGAGCAGTGGACCTAGGGACTTGCTTCTAATCAATAGATTATGGCAAAAGTGATGAGATATCACTTCTAAGATTACATTCTAAAAGATTGACAAGCTATTTTAAAAAAGAATAATGCTGGGTGTTTTTTCAGAAGATATATTTTATCACATTAATAAAGCCTTCTCTTTCCTCATTTAGCAGGGGAGTTTTAAAAATAAAGAATAAATGTTGACTTTTATCTTTAAAGAAATGGCTGTGACATGTCTTACTCTTGCTTGCACTCTGTCTCTGCCATCATCATTCTGATAAAGCACATCAGAGGCTTCCAGGGAAGAAATCAAGGGAGACCTCTAGCCAAGTCAGCAAGTACCTGGGTCCTGCCAATAACCACTTGAGTAAACTTGGAAGCAGATTGTTTCCTAGGTGAGCCTTCCTATGACTGCAACTCAGCCAACACCTTGATTGCAGTCTTTGTTTGAGACCCAGAGCGAGCCAGAGGACCCAATCACATTTGAATCCTAACCTGCAGTATCTGTGAGAAAATAAATGCTGTTTATTTAAGCCACTGAGTTTTGAGTACTTTGTTACCTAGCAGTAAATAATTAATACAATAGCAGTGACCTAAAATTTTCCTTTATAGTGGCTTGGCTCTAGGCTGTGTATATTGGTTTTGGATCTATCATCTTGTTTAAATCTCTTATAAATTCTAATAATTTTTTTTTGTAAAATGCTTTAAGTTTTCTGCCTAGACAACATATTATCTACAAAAATGCCATTTTTTTCTTTTCTGATTCTCATGCATTGTACTTTTTTCTTTTTTTTAATTTGATAGAACATTTTCTATGATGTTGAAGAGAAACAGTAAGTGCTTAGCACTCTTGACTTATCTAAGACTTTAAAGAAAATATTACCAAGATTTCATGTTTAAGGCTGGATTCCTGTAAGTTTTTGGGATGTCAATTTTTAGTAGGTTAAGTAAATAGAATTTTGTTTTCTATGTTTAATGAAAATCATTTTTATTATATTGATCAGATTCCTCTCTTTAACCTAAGATGACCATTTCTTTTAACAGATTTTCTTTTATCTACTACTTATTAGGCTTAAAAATGTAAAATATTTTAATATTTCTTTTTATTTTAATTCATAATACAATAATTCAGAGGATATACTAAACTATACGTTTACAGATTTATCAAATTTTTTCCCTCCAAAAAGACTAAGAAATACATATGTTTTCTATTCCTATAAATGAATAGATTATAGAAACTTATTCTTTAGGTTGACATTTGAGTCATCAGCATTTTTTTCCCCCTACCAATACATTAGTCTTTAAAAATATTGCAAAACCAAGATAATCAGTCTTACATTCACCAGGGATTTTATAGAAAAGCATTTGCTTCTCAGCCCTGCAATGTGATTAGGTAATTAAATATCTTCTTTCTTTTTAATATTTTAAAACTTACTGCTGCTGCAGATGAAAGTTGACCTAGACCATGTAATATTTTCATTTGTTAAAACATGCATGGTTTAGATAAGGAAGATTAATGCAGCTAAAAGCATTAATGGAGCTAATCCACTTAATAAAAGACAGTTCTTCAAGTTTATAAAGTAGCTTAGTTTCAACCTCTTAATTTCATTAGTAGAAAACACAGCCATTTTCTACTACCATAATCACTTATTATTTATTCATCCAGAATTGCTCTAAGAAGATGGCTTAGATTTTCCTTGGGGATTGCACTCTATTACTTATAAAGCCAGGCCATACACTGTCTAGTTTCTCCTTGGGTTTGATGTCTTCCTTCCTCTCTTAACCATTTTGCATAATATTGATTTTCTTCTCATAAAAGAGTGGTTATCAGCTGGGTGCAGTGGCTCACACCTGTAATCCCAGCACTTTGAGAGGCTGAGGCATGCAGATCACTTGAGGCCAGGAGTTTGGGACCAGCCTGGCCAACATGGTGAAACCTCGTCTCTACCAAAAATACCAAAATTAGCTGGTCGTGGTGGCAGGCGCCTGTAATCCCAGCTACTCAGGAGGCTGAGGCAGGAGAATTGCTCAAACCCAGAAGGTGAAGGTTGCAGTGATCCAGGATCCTGCCACTGCACTCCAGCCTGGGCAACAGAGCGAGATTCCATCTCAAAGACAAAAACAACAACAAAAAAAGAGTGATAATTTCTAGGTGGGTATGACAATAACCATAGAAGTTTACACTTTCTGTTCACAGTGTAACTTGAAAATTTTCCTGAGAATTTTTTTTTAGCAAAGAAATCTAACAAATAGAAAACCAATTATAGAGTAAAATCATTTGTAAATTTTCTAGTTTAACAAACTCTTTACCATGTGTAGAAAATTGCAATGAATCTATGGATATTTGACAACTAATTTTAATACTAACTTCAATGAAATTCTGAGAAGGCTAAAAATGTTTACACTTCTTATTAGTATAATTAAATCCCAAAGTTTAAAGGAGTAAGAAATGAATCTGACTTTTTATTAAGAAAGAGGTGAGGCCAGGCACGGTGGCTCACGCCTGTAATCCCAGCACTTTGGGAGGCTGAGGTGGGCGGATCACCTGAGGTCAGGAGTTCGAGACTAGCCTGGCCAATATGGTGAAACGCCGTCTCTACTAAAAATACAAAAATTAGCCAGGCACTGTGGCAGGTGCCTGTAATCCCAGCTACTAGGGAGGCTGAGGAAGGAGAATCGCTTGAACCCGGGAGGCGGAGGTTGCAGTGAGCCGAGATCGTGCCATTGCACTCCAGCCTGGGGGACAAGAGCGAGACTTCGTCTAAAAAAAAAAAAAAGAAAGAAAGAAAGCAGTGAATCACCCTGCTTCCTTTCTAGAATATAGTTAACCTATCAATTATCCTTTATTTTGAAATAGATTAGTAGAGACACTAAATTGCATGCACATATATTGTAACGATTTGTTTCCCTTTGCAGACAGGCATGTACTAATAATTCTGACACACCCTTAGTAGTAATTCTCCCAGGGAATTCCCTGGAAATGTAAGTGGTGAAGTCTCAGATAAGACATATTATGGATAGCTAATTTATAGAGAAAAAGGAAGACATTGTACTGGATCTAGTGTCGATTTCCCAGTGTTTTTCTTCGTGAAGATTTCTAAGTTAAAGGAGGATGATAATATGGGACCCTCTACCATATTCCTGCTAAGTTTAGGAAATCATTTTAAAGTGCTCACTAAGTGCTAAACACCTTCTCTTTCCCTTTTCTTCCCATGCCATTCTCTGAAGTGTTTCTTACCTGCCTACAATTCCTTATGAGAATTCATCCGAGTCCTAAGAGGATGAAATTATGAACAAAAATGTGCGTAGCAGTGAACACAAACAAAACATGTGAACAATATATTCTTTATGCAGGGGTACTTAAGGCTATGTAGTTTCATGTACAAATACTGTAACTGTTTTTTTTATTTCAACTGAATCTCTATTTTAAGTTCCTATGCTGCCTAATGGCAGATAATGTAATGTCACTCAATTATGGGTTCTCCAAATTAGATCCATTTTAAATTCAGTAAACAGGGTTTCTTTTCTCCTGCCTTCTTCCATGGACTGCCTAAAAACCTGAGGGGCTAGAGACAATCAAACGTTGGTTGGAGGAAGGTAGCTTGTCCCAGGTTGAGGCCTCTCTGTTATTGCTTCTCTTCAAGTTTCTGTATTCTTGCCTGGATCCACAGTTTTGGCCATGTTTTAGAGTGGAGTCATCTCCTCACGGTTATGATATTCTTCCAAGTCTTGTGCTTCTCAGTGTTATTTGTGATTCTTGGCAAAATGAGAAGACGTGGCTGCTTCTCAAGCTGGATGTGGACATGTGTGGACTGACTGAACCTGACTCAGTCCCACCTGTTTATGCACCCCATCCACCCAAGGCTTGATTGTCTGCCCCGCCGTAGAAGGTAGGGAATTCTTTGTGAGGAAAGAGGGACATGGGCAGAGATTCCACATAGTTTTGAATCTTCATATTTATCTGGAGTTCATTTTTAAGTTTTTATTTTTAGCTGTTAAAATGATTTATTGAGCTTTGCAAAGAGATTATAAACCTAAGATATTTTAAAACAAGTGAATCTATGAAAAAGATTAAATAAAGAAAATAAATAATATTAACAGATGTTTCTTAGTATACTAGCACATCCACCCTGATGATAATTTTTAAAATTAGGGTGGAGAGATTATGGACTGAGTCAAAATTACATAGAACCTGTAAACAAGTGTTTTTACAGCAACAGCTGTGTGACAGAACAAGGAGCAGAAGAATAGAAGCCATTTTCTATGATTAATAAGATTATTTTGGCAATAGTTATTATTACACTTTTTAAAGGTCATTTACTGCTGGTCCTCCGTGTTGAACTGTTCTTAACCATTGTGGAGAAGAGCTGCGGGATAGAGGCCAGTTTATCTAGACCTTTCCCATCTGAGGAGGAGAATAGAAAAGTAGGTACATATGTAGTGTAAAATACGTCATTCAAGGACCACCAAAACTTTCATTAAGTACCCTATCATTAAATCTGTTTTTATTTTTATTTTTTAATTTATTTTATTTTATTTTATTATTATTACATCTTAAGTTTTAGGGTACATGTGCACAATGTGCAGGTTACTTACATATGTATACATGTGCCATGCTGGTGCGCTGCACCCACTAACTCGTCATTTAGCATTAGGTATATCTTCTAAAGCTATCCCTCCCCCCTTCCCCCAACCCCACAACAGTCCCCAGAGTGTGATGTTCCCCTTCCTGTGTCCATGTGTTCTCATTGTTCAATTCCCACCTATGAGTGAGAATATGCGGTGTTTGGTTTTTTGTTCTTGTGATAGTTTACTGAGAATGATGATTTCCAACTTCATCTATGTCCCTACAAAGGACATGAACTCATCATTTTTTATGGCTGCATAGTATTCCATGGTGTATATGTGCCACATTTTCTTAATCCAGTCTATTATTGTTGGACATTTGGGTTGGTTCCAAGTCTTTGCTATTTTGAATAGTGCTGCAATAAACATATGTGTGCATGTGTCTTTATAGCAGCATGATTTATAGTCCTTTGGGTATATACCCAGTAATGGGATGGCTGGGTCAAATGGTATTTCTAGTTCTAGATCCCTGAGGAATCACCACACTGACTTCCACAAGGGTTGAACTAGTTTACAGTCCTATCAACGTGTAAAAGTGTTCCTATTTCTCCACATCCTCTCCAGCACCTGTTGTTTCCTGACTTTTGAATGATTGCCATTCTAACTGGTGTGAGATGGCATCTCATTGTGGTTTTGATTTGCATTTCTCTGATGGCCAGTGATGGTGAGCATTTTTTCATGTGTTTTTTGGCTGCATAAATGTCTTCTTTTGAGAAGTGTCTGTTCATGTCTTTTGCCCACTTTTTGATGGGGTTGTTTGTTTTTTTCTTATAAATTTGTTTGAGTTCATTGTAGATTCTGGATATTAGCCCTTCATCAAAGTAGCTCAAGTAAGGGATGCTTTATGACCCAGGGTTTCTGGAGTCAGATAGACATTCTTGCCTGCCCCTTACTCTGACTTATTGGGAGAGGGAAAACTGCAGTGGTGTTTCTGTTGCAGTGACAAAGGTAACATGTCAGAAAATTCAGAGGGTTATTATCAATAATCCTTTGGAAACTGGATGTCTTACGGGGTTCTAGAATGCAAATTTAGGTATTTATTGTCAGATGATGAAATTCATTGTTTTTTTTCAAAAATGATGTTGAAATATCGCTGTCCAATGCGTTCACTTATGTGAAAGCTAAATTGAATGAAGCAAAAAGAGAAAATAGTTTGTATATTTGTCATACCTTTTTATTTCTTACAATAAAAATATTGGTAGCAAATAAAAATAATAAAAAGAATAATTTTTAAAAAAAGAAACAAGAGTTTTCTACTCAGATGTGCCATGTACTAAATATATAACTCTTCAAGGCATTGTAGCTCCTTAGGCCTTGGGTTTCTGATCTGTAAATTTAAGGACTTAAGACCTATGATTCCAAGGTTGCTTCTATGTCTGATGGTTTCAGTAGGCTAGCCTACATTTTATAATTGGTTTTAACATCAAGAATTTAACAGTTTAATTCTCTAGTTTTGCTAATACTTGGTGCAATGGTGATCTTATATCAATTGACAAAATAGGGTAGAATCATAAGATGAAAGACAGTCTGAGAAAAAATTTAAAGAAAACCACATTGACTGATACTTTATAATACCCAGCTATACTGAGCACATTGAGCACGATGGAAAAGCACATAGGCTTGGAGAAAAACACCGTGCTGGGTTGAAGCTTTACAGCTTGTCACGGATTTTGCACAAGTAGTTTTGTTTCACTAAACCTTTCTCTTTATCTGCAAAATGCAAATAATGATAATAGTACCTATGTCATAGGATTGTAAGTATTAAATGATATATTTCATTAAAATACTTGGTACAGGAAGGGGTTGCTCATAGCTTGGCATAGCAGCAGGTCAAGTGAATTAATTCATTATAATTTAACAGAATCCTCATCATATTTATTCATTGCTATTCATTTGTCAGTTTTTTCTATTTTCCTACACCACTGAGATTAATGTTATTTTAATAACATGTTTCTTATTTTCATTGTTTGATACAAAATATAAATCCATTCTATGATACATTGTATTTTAAAAGGTAGGACAGTTATACAGATTGGCAGCACTGTTGCAACTTAGACCCTCATACCTGATAATAGCATTATCTGATAGGCAATAAATTGGGTGCCACGGTTCAGCCCAGAGGAAAACATACATAGTGCTTTTGCATTAATAGAAATTTGATATTCCAGGGTGAGAAAAATTGAAAATCTTTGAAAGGGATAAATTAATACAAGTTTAACATAGCCACAGTCTCCTTGCCGCTGGTTTTAAAGTGCTTCATTGAAAGCATATGACTAGAAGATCAAAAGCAAACCATAGGTGCGAACACTAAAAAGCTTTACAAATCTCTACGGTCACATTAATGTTAAAATTATTTCAAACTTAAAATGTAAAGTAATCAATGTTTCTGTCATGTCTAGAGTTGGAAAAGATAGCTTTTTCTTTAGCCAGATGGATTAAGGTCATCATAGTTGCTACAGCAAACAAAACTCAGATTGGATAACGGGTCAAATGTGAGTGTTAATTTTTAATGCCTGTCAAGTACAAAAGAGATGTTTCTGGTAGAAGAGTGGCTCTATTTAAAACAGTGCTTTAGAAGCTCAGCCTCTTTCATCTCATAGCGCCACATCTTCGACACATAAATTCCAGGTTTACTGTGTTTCTTCTGTGTCCTGATGAAGGCTGTCATTGTTAACGTAGTCCTTAGTATCCCTGAAGGAGAAATAAGACTGATAGCTATAATTTCAAAGAAGGATTTAAAATCTTTTCTTATAATGCATTTGGCAGCATGTATTTATTTTATATTTATCTGGAGGTCTTTCCTTAATTCACCTGCTACTTTTCCTTAACAAGATTGTTACATAGTTTTTGCCTCCAACAAAATTTAGTCAAGTCCACAAGCAGAGGATTACATTTCATCAACACATGATGACATCTGGCTTGAAGCTATGTTCTTGTCAAATGATCCAGTGAAATAATGTATTTTTTGGATTTTACTAACATTTTACTAAAATTATTTACTAGGCATATCTAAAATGACTAGCTGTTTGAAAGGGTTTCTTTTATTTAAATTGTTTAAAGATCCTATATAGAAAATATATTCTCATGTGCTTTTACTAGATCTTGAAGAATTGTAAGATTACCTTTAAAATTTATTGGGCTTAGATGTCTTTAACTGGAAGGAAAACAGCCAGAAGGTGAGAAGCATTCTCTGTAACAAAATGAAATAAAAAGGTTTGCCTAGAATACGGTGGCTAAATAATTTGTCTTTGCCATTGATGTCATTAAAATTAATCCTGGCAGTAAGGCAATGTTTGATAGTAACAGAGAAGTCTCTGGAAATAATGCATTCTGAAATAATAATGCACAGAACAGAAACTTTATACACTCTATTGTGTATGAGTAGTGAGATATTTAAATTCAAAATGTTAATTATGTAATATAATTATGTTGCATGTTTATTAGAAGTAAATTTCTAATGAAATCTAATCCTCTTATGTTTATATATCATATTGCATTAATTATTTAGGGCCATAAAATGTGAATAAATTTTGTTTATTTAATCTTTGTCATGTTGGTAGGAGTCGTCGTTATTCCTTTTTTCCTTTTTGCCTACCCTCAAAATGAGAGCCATTAACTTGGTAGTTTTATTTACACTCCGAGTAGAAAATGTTCAATATGAAAGAGTTTGACTTAAGCAATTTAATTGCTCCTGGGATATTCAATTTGAATCTTGATGAATTAGGTAAAACATATTCTCCCAAATATTTATTAAACACCCGAAGCTATCTGATATAAGAAAAAAAATGATCTCTAGTATATGCATTATGGAACTGCTCCTGCTTCTTCTAAATAAGACACAATTCTGGTGCTATACTTCACTGCACAGTTTATTTTTAGATAATAATTTCTCTCAGAAAATCTCTGTTTTTGATTTATGGAAAGATAAAAGATTTCATTCCCACTATGTAACATCTCAAGCAAATTCTGTTTGGTTTTCCTTGTTTCTAGAGTGAGCATAGATTATGATGAACATCTAGTGCTGCAATATTTCCCAAGCTGTTAGATGGAATAAGAATCACATAGTCAGTCAACAATTATTTCCCAGTTATTGTTCTATTAATAGGTGCTGGGAATAGAGCAGCGAAAAGCAAAGTGGGGATAAGGCAGA
Organism: Homo sapiens; assembly: GCF_000001405.40. Taxonomy (NCBI): domain Eukaryota; kingdom Metazoa; phylum Chordata; class Mammalia; order Primates; family Hominidae; genus Homo; species Homo sapiens. The sequence goes on from NC_000005.10 coordinate 99,294,162, forward strand.
AAGAGCTATCTCCCAACATGAACACAAAGAAAGAAACCACTTTATATGTGGCAAACCTGACAAGGTTAGACCTCAGGTTGCAAACCTTAGACTCCCAAACAGATTACCTTCTCTTGTTCAAAATAAAGCTCTTGTAATCCTTCAGGGATGCCCATATCCAACATTCAGTATAATCTCTCAACCTCTTTCTTCCAATCATAATAGCATCAAAATACCCTTAGACAGCAGTTGTCATATAGAGAAGACAAAATTAAATTCTGGGTCTGAAAATCAGTGCTTTACAAAATTGTTTTCTATCAGCCATGGCCCCTAACCTTCATGGATATGAGACCTTATATCTTTAGTTTTATTTATTTGTTTTGGAGAAAACTTCATCTCAAAGTGATATAATACATTTAAAAATGTCAAGGAGTAATTCTGTTCTTTCAGCATAAAAACGAAAGATTGTGGGATATAGGGAGATACTATGATAGACTGCAAAGCCATAGATGGGAAACAATTGTGTCTTCAGCCAAAATAATAGTTCTACGTCTTATGAACAGTAATGAGTTTCATAGCCTCCTTGGGGGGCCAGGAGGTCAGTGTCATTATGACAAGTTTTAGAAAATGAGAAACAGGAGGCACAGAAAATCTGAATGATATGGCCTAAAACCATCACTGGGTCACAGTGGCCATTAGTAATAATTTCTCTCTCTTTTTTTTTTAATTTTATTATTATTATACTTTCTTAAACTAACCTTTGGGTGTTTTTTTTCTTAGTGAGACACAGAGGAGAAATAAATATCAAACAACTAGGGAAATCAAAGGAATAACAATAGATATGTTAAAACAGAATTAAAGGTTTAAAAATTAGGGATGAAGGAGAAACAAAAAAATCTAATATGATTAGAACAGAATATTTATGTATCTGAAAGTGATAAACTCAAATAAGACAATTGAAAACTTTACTATGGATACCATATTTTACTTTTATGCTTTGGTTTAAATATATTAATGAAAAATGGATAATCATTTTTACATGAAAGTAGATACAACACTGGACTTTGTAGTCAGCATTTTGTCTTCTGCTTTGCATGTATCTACTTTACTACATTTTTCTCTTGGTTAAGAACTCCTTCTATGTATTAATTTAGGTAGAATGAGGTCTTTTATTTTTTTAATTCTATGCTCCTATAGATAAGAAGAGAGGAGAAAAAGAAGAGGGGGAAGAGGCAGTGGGGGAGGAGGAGAAAGAAAAGATGCATTTAATGAGGTTTTGGGTTAAAATATATATGTATAAATGTAAATATACATATATACACACACATACATACACATAGAAATGGAAGTAGAGTAGGGATAAGACCTTATTACATATGGAAATTTATCTTATGATAAATGCTGGATAAGAACTCAATAAAAAATACTTTTTCAATAATTGCTTGGAAATTACAGTAATTGGTTGAAAAAATGCCAAACATACATGTATATGCACACACACACACACACACACACACACACACACATTTTGCTAGATTTCACCAAATGTTCTTTCTAAAAAGATCACACCAACTTACCCTTCCACAAATAGGTAACGAAAGTGCCTTTTCCTTCTTATACTAATAGTAGTAGGGGACTTCAGTGATCACTTCCCACTGTTTTTTCTTCTTTTTTCTTTTTTTTTTTTCGACATAGGCTCTCACTCTGTTGCTCAATTTGGAGTGTAGTGGCATGACCATAGTTCACTGTAACCCCATACTGTTGGGCTCAGGTGATCCTCCTGCCTTAGCCTCCTAAGTAACTGGGACTACAGGTATGAGCTACGATGCTCAACTAATTTTTTGTTGTTTTTCATAGAGATAAAGTCTTGCTATGTTGCCCAGGCTAGACTTGAACTCCTAGCCTTAAGTGATCCTGCAATCTTGACCTCCCAATGTATTGGCATGACAGGTGTGAGTGACCCTGTGCAGCCCCCATTTTCAACAGTGAACATATCATCTAGACAGAAAATTAATAAGGAAACATTAAACTTAAACAATATTTTAGACCAAATGGATCTGACAGACATATACAAAACATTCCATGCAACAGATGCAGAATATACATTCTTCTCAAGAATATGTGAAGCATTCTCCAGAATAGATCACATGTTAGGGTACAAAACATGCCTTAGCAAATTTTAGAAGATTGAAGTCATATTAAATACCTTTAGTGGTATAAAACTAGAAATTAAGAACAGAAGGTATTTTTGAGAATTCATGAATTCATGGAAATTAATATGCTCCCAAACAACCAATGGGTCAATAAATTAATTAAAACAGAAATTAAAAAATATTTTGAAACAAAGAAAAATGGAAGCATAACATAACAAAATTTATGGGATGTAACAAAAGCAGTTGTAAGAAGAAAGTTTATAGCAATATGAACTTCAGAAAGAAGAAAGATGTCAACTAAACAACTTAATGTTACCCCTCAAGAAACTAGGTAAATTAATTTTTGTATAAGGTGTAAGGAAGGGATCCAGTCTCAGCTTTCTACATATGGCTAGCCAGTTTTCCCAACACCATTTATTAAATAGAGAATCCTTTCCCCATTTCTTGTTTTTGTCAGGTTTGTCAAAGACCAGATGTTTGTAGATATGTGGTATTATTTCTGAGCGCTCTGTTCTGTTCCATTGATCTATATCTCTGTTTTGGTACCAGTACCATGCTGTTTTGGTTACTGTAGCCTTGTAGTATAGTTTGAAGTCAGGTAGCATTTAAAGACTTAAATGTTACACCTAAAACTATGAAAACCCTAGAAGAAAACGTAGGCTATACCATTCAGGACATAGGCATGGGTAAGGACTTCATGTCTAAAACACCAAAAGCAATGGCAACAAAAGCCAAAATTGACTAATGGGATCTAATTAAACTAAACAGCTTCTGCGCAGCAAAATAAACTACCACCAGAGTGAACAGGCAACCTACAGAATGGGAGACAATTTTTGCAATCTACTCATCTGACAAATGGCTAATATCCAGAATCTACAAAGAACTCAAACAAATTTACAAGAAAAAAACATGTGCCATGCTGGTGTGCTGCACCCATTAACTCGTCATTTAGCATTAGGTATATCTCCTAATGCTATCCCTCCCCCCTCCCCCCACCCCACAACAGGCCCCAGAGTGTAATGTTCTCCTTCCTGTGTCCATGTGTTCTCATTGTTCAATTCCCACCTATGAGTGAGAATATGCAGTGTTTGCTTTTCTGTTCTTGCGATAGTTTACTAAGAATGATGATTTCCAATTTCATCCATGTCCCTACAAAGGACATGAACTCATCCTTTTGTATGGCTGCATAGTATTCCATGATGTATATGTGCCACATTTTCTTAATCCAGTCTATCATTGTTGGACATTTGGGTTGCTTACAAGTCTTTGCTATTGTGACTAGTGCTGCAATAAACATACGTGTGCATGTGTCTTTATAGCAGCATGATTTATAGTCCTTTGGGTATATACCCAGTAATGGGATGGCTGGGTCAAATGGTATTTCTAGTTCTAGATCCCTGAGGAATCACCTTCCTGACTTTGTGGAACTGACTTACACAATGGTTGAACTAGTTTACAGTCTCACCAACAGTGTAAAAGTGTTCCTATTTCTCCACATCCTCTCCAGCACCTGTTGTTTCCTGACTTTTGAATGATTGCCATTCTAACTGGTGTGAGATGGTATCTCATTGTGGTTTTGATTTGCATTTCTCTGATGGCCAGTGATGATGAGCATTTTTTCATGTGTTTTTTGGCTGCATAAATGTCTTCTTTTGAGAAGTGTCTGTTCATCTCCTTCACCCACTTTTTGATGGGGTTGTTTGCTTCTTTCTTGTAAATTTGTTTGAGTTCATTGTAGATTCTGGATATTAGCCCTTTGTCAGATGAGTAGGTTGTACCCTAAAACTTAAAGTATAATAATAATAAAATTAAAAAAATTAAAAAATTTAAAAAAAGAGACATAAAGAACAGTCCTCTAACACAAAGGCATAAGAAGGATATAATGGACTCTAGGGACTTGTGGGGGAAGGCTGAGAGGGATAAAAGACTACACATTGGGTTCGGTATACACTGCTCGGATGATGGGTGCACCAAAATCTCAGAAATCACCACTAAAGCACTTATCTGTGTAACCAACACCACCTGTTCCCCCAAAACGATTGAAATAATAAAGAAAACATAGAATCATATACCAGAACAGACAAATATGGAGAGACAGGAAGTAGATTAGTGGTTGCCTAGGGCTAGAATGTGGCGCAGGGTGTTGGGGGAATATAGAGTGGCTGTGAATGGGCACAGATGTTCTTTTTGGGTTGATAAAATTGCAAAATTGATTGTAGTGATGGTTGCACAACTTTGTGACTACTAAAAACCAACTTATTTGTATATTTTAAGTGGGTTGTATGGTATATAAATTATATCTCAATAAAGATGATAATAAAAAAAAAAGAAAGACAAAAACAAACAACCCCATCAACAAGTGGGCGAAGGAGATGAACAGACACTTCTCAAAAGAAGACATTTATGCAGCCAACAGACACATGAAAAAATGCTCATCATCAGTGGCCATCAGAGAAATGCAAATCAAAACCACAATGAGATACCATCTCACACCAGTTAGAATGGCGATCATTCAAAAGTCAGGAAACAACAGGTGCTGGAGAGGATGTGGAGAAATAGGAACACTTTTACACTGTTGGTGAGACTGTAAACTAGTTCACCCATTGTGGAAGACAGTGTGGCGATTCCTCAGGGACCTAGAACTAGACATACCATTTGACCCAGCCATCCCATTACTGGGTATATACCCAAAGGACTATAAATCATGCTGCTATAAAGACACATGCACACATATGTTTATTGTGGCACTATTCACAATAGCAAAGACTTGGAACCAACCCAAATGTCCATCAATGATAGACTGGATTAAGAAAATGTGACACATATACACCATGGAATACTATGCAGCCATAAAAAAGGATGAGTTCATGTCCTTTGTAGGGACATGGATGAAGCTGGAAACCATCATTCTCAGCAAACTATCGCAAGGACAAAAAACCAAACACTGCATGTTCTTACTCATAGGTCAGAATTGAACAATGAGAACACTTGGACACAGGAAGGGGAACATCACACACCGGGGCCCATCATGGGATGTGGGGAGGGGGGAGGGAAAGCATTAGGAGATATACCTAATGTAAATGACGAGTTAACGGGTGCAGCACACAAACATGGCACATGTATACATATATAACAAACCTGCACATTGTGCACATATAACCTAGAACTTAAAGTATTAAAAAAAAAGAATACTCAAAATTCAATCGTAAGAAAATAAACAGCCCAATAAAAATGGGCAAAAGATTTGAAGAAAAAAAAAAACTAGGTAAAGAACAAATGAGGCCCAAAGTTAGCATAGGAAGTAAATAATAAATATCAGAAAAGAAATAAATGAAATAGAGCTAGAAAAACAATATAAAAGATCAATAAAACTAAGAGTTGGTATTTTGAAAAGAAAAAATAGACAAACCTGTAGCTAGACTAAGAAAAAAGAGAAGACTCAAATAAAATTACAAATGAAAGAGGAGGCATTATAACTGACACTTCAAAAATACAAAGTTCTGCTATGAAGATTTATCTGCCAACATTTTGGATAACCTAGGTGAAATAGATTTCTGGACACATGCAACCTACCAGGAATGAATTTTAAAGAAATTGAAAATCTGAAAAGACCAATAACTGGTGAGGAAACTGAATCAGTAATATAAAGTCCCCTATCAAAGGAAAGCACAGAACCTGATGGCTTCACTACTGAATTCTGCCAAACATTTAAAGAATACCAAACCTTCTCAAACTCTTCTAAATCAAAGAGGAGGAAATACTTTCAAATTCATTTTATGAGTTATTATGATATCAAAGCCAGGAAAGGGCATTATAAGAAAAGAAAATTACCCATCAGATACTAGCAAACTGAATTCAACGGCACACTGAAAGGATCACTCATCATGATCAAGTGGGATTTATCCCTGGGATTCCAGGATGGTTCAAAATGCACAAATCATTAAATGTGATACTTCACATTAACAGAATGAGGGATAGAAACCATACTATCATTTCATTAGATGCAGAAAAAGCTTTTGACAAAATTCAACATCCTTTAATGATAGAAACTTTCACCAGTGATAGAAATTTTATACCAATTAGGCATAGAAGGAAAGTACCTCAACACAATAAAGGTCATATATGAGAAGCCCACAGCAAACATGCTCAATAATGAAAAATTAAAAGCCTTCCTCTAAGGTCTGGGACAAAAAATAGTGTTCACTCTCCCCACTTCTAGTCACTGTAGTATTGGAAGTCTTAAAGGCATCCAAAACAGGAAAGAAAAAAGTGAAATTGTCACTATTTTCTGATGACATAATCTTATATTAATATATAGAAAAAGCCTGAAGATGCCATAAATTGTTAAAACTAATAAGTGAATGCAGTAAAGTTAGACGATACAACATACAAAAATCAGTTGCATTACTATACACTAACAATGAACTATCTAAAAAACAATTCAAGAGAACAATTCTATTTACAGTAGCTACAAAAATAAAATAAAAACCTTTTTTTTCGAAATAGGGGCTTGCTCTGTTGCCCACAGTGGAATACAGTGTCATGATCATAGCTCACTTTAACCTTCTGGGTTCAAGTGATCCTCCCAGCCTCAGCCTTTGAAGTAGTTGGGCCTACAGGCACACACCACCATGCCTAGCTAATTTTTGTTTTGTTTTGTTTTGTTTTGTTTTTTGTAGAGATGGGATCTTATTATAATATCTAAGCTGGTCTTGAACTCTTGGCCTTGAACACTCCTCCTGCTTTGGCCTCCTAAAATGCTGGGATTATAGATCATATGCCCAGTACATAAAATACTTTAATAGGAACAAATTTAACCAAGGAGATGAAACACCTGTACACTGAAAACTACGAGTATGGAGGACAAAACAAATAATGGAAAGATATACTGTGTTTATGGTTTGAAAGAATGAATATTTTTTAAATGTCTATACTACTCAAAGTGATCCACAGATTCAGTGCCATTACTATCAAAATTCTAGTCACTTTTTAATAGAAATAGTAAAAATAATTGTAAAATTCATATGGAACCACAAGAGACCCAACAATGGTCTTTGATAGCCAAGGCAATCAGGAATAAAAAGAACAAAGCTGGAGGCATGACTATATCGCAAAGGTATAGTAATTAAAATGGCACGGTACTGGCATAAAAATGGACATGTTGACCAATGGAATAACATAGAAAGTGCAGAAATGAACCCACACATGTATAGTCAACTGACTTTTGACAGAGTTGCCAAGAACACGCAATAGAAAATGATAGTCTCTCAATAAATGCTGTTGGGAAACCTGGATGTACACATGTAAAAAATGAAATTGGATTTTTATCTCATACCATATACAAAAATCAAGTCAAAATGGATTGAAGTTGTAAACATAAACCAGACACTGTAAAACTACTAGAAGAAAACATAGGGGAAAAGCTTCACAACACTGGTGTGAGCAAAGATTTTTTGGATTTGACCCCCAAAGTACAGACAACAAAACCAAAAATAGACAAATAGGATTACATTAAACTAAAACGTGTCTACAGAGCAAAGGAAACAATTAACAGTGAGAAGGAACAACTAAGAATTGAGAGAAAATGTTTGTAAGTCATACATCTGGTAAGGGGTTAATATCCAAAATATATAAGAAACTCAATTCAATAGCAAGAAAACAAAAAACCCAATTAAAAATGGGCAAGGGACTCCAATAGAAATTTCTCAAAAGAAGACATACAAATGGCCAACAGATTTGTTAGAAAATGCCCAACATTGCTAATCATTAAGTAAATGCAAATTAAAACCACAATAAGATGGACTCTCACACAGGTCAGAATGACTATTATTAAAGTGATGAAAGATAGCAAGTGTTGGCAGGGATGTAGAGAAAAGGAAATCCCTGTACGCTGTTAGTGGGGATGTAAATTGGTACAGCCCTTATGGAAAACTGTATGGAAGTTCCTCAAGAAATCTAAAAATAGAATTACTATGTGATCCAGTAATCCTACTTTTTTGTATTTACCAAAAGTATTTGAAATCAGTTTGTCAAGAGATGTCTACATTCTTAGGATCATTGCAGCACTAGTCACAACAGACAAGTTGCGAGTCAACCTAAATGTCTGTCAACAGATGAATGGATAAGGAAAATGTGATATATATACACAATGGAATACTATTCAGCCTTCAAAAAGAATGAGATCTGGTCATTTGCAGCAACAGAAATGGAACGGGAGGACATTATGCCCAGTGAAATAAGTCAAATGCAGAAAAGCAAATATTGCATGTGTCATTTATATGTACAATCTAAAACAATCAAATCTACAAAAGTGGAGAGTAAAGTGGTGGTTACAGAGGATGGTGGATGGGGCAAATGAGGAGGTGATGTTACAAAATCTCAGAAAGGAGAAATTAATTTGTTTTTTTTTTTAGATCTCTTGCACAATGTGGTCAGTATAGTTAATGATAGTGCATTGTAACATCTCAAAATTGCCGAGAGTAAACTTCAGATGTTCTCACCACAAAAAAATAGATAAGTATTTGAGGGGATGGGTATGTTAATTAGTTTAATTTCCTTATTCTACACTGTATTCATAAATCATAAAATCATAAATATATATGATTATATAATTCATAACAAATAAAGTAAAATAATTATGAGCGCATCTACTGCACACATCACTAATTCCATCTGAAAAAGTATTAAATTAAAAAATCTTTTGTATCAGAGAAAGTCAGTGGATACCCTTGATATTTTCTTTACAGAACATAATTAGCTTAACTCTTACGTAACTCAAAATTTGTGTAAATATTTTACATTTCAAAGTGTTAAATATCTTCTACTTCATTTTCCAAACACCAGATTAGATCTACTTTGGCTTTCTGAGGCAGATAATTTGTTTCAATCAGAAATTGTTGTTAGATAGTTCCCTTAAATAATTGAAATGCTGTTTGAGCTTTTTCCTGTAGCCCCAGAAATTAACATGATACCTTGTACAACAAAAGCTGACATTACACATGCTCATTAGATAATTTTTCTTTGACTCTCAACTAATTATTAATATTTTTCCTTTTTACATATCTATTTAAAAATATAATTATTTGAGCATTAGACAATGTGAGATATGGCAATTGCTTTATTTAATCTTATTTAACCTTAATGACAGTCTTGTGAGTTATATTATAATCTTCATTTTAAAAATGACAAAAATAAGGCTCAGAAAGATTAACTCACCTAATGTTTCCTGCTGAATAAATATTAGAGCCGTAACTGAATCCAAGGACTCTTACACAAAAATCTATTATCTTAAGTGCTGTAATATCTGGTCTCCTCATTATTCTACTCAGTATGAGGAAGTCAATTTTCTACAAAAGGTGATTATTTATTCATAAACGTAATGTTATTTTCCCTTTTGTTTGTTAATGAAGCATTTTTGCTGTCACAGGTGTGTTGTAGATCACGTCAGGACTCTCAACTGATCAGGGATTGTTCCTTGAGGTAGAAACATGAGAGCAGCTGCAATTTTTATTGCAAATAACTGGTCAGCAGCTTCCTGCAATAGAGAGTGTGGCATTGGTCATATGTCAGGAAACTGGAAGAAAGAGACTCAATAAGTCTGTCCATGATGACATTTTAAAACACCAAAAGGCACCAATAAATAAACAAATCTGTTTTTTCCTCAATCTCTGGCTTAATCTACTCTCTTCCTTTGCAAGTCTGATTCTTCCCAATAAAACCCACCAAAAGTTACCCCTTACGTTGTGAAAAAGTTAAATACCTAGTTAATTTTCTCTTCAGTCTTTTAAAGTATTTTAGCTTTATCAAGACTGATGAATAATTATACAATATTTTGGTTATAGAATATTTTGACAAATTTTAATTGGAAAATATTGGTCAGAGAGAGAAATCTGTTGTATAGGGAGAAAAACTCATCAAAGAGTTACCTTATTAAATTAGAGAAATGTTGTGTGGGTCAAAAACTGTGCAGGTTAGACAAGACTTGAGGAGCTAGAAGGAGACATTATAGAGAGAAAGAGGAAAAATGAAAGAGAAGAGAGACAATGAATAAATATATGACAAGGGAAATCAGGGACAAGAGCAGTATAATTTCCATTCTTTTGACCAAAGAGTGAAGTCAGTGGAGAACCCACAAGTAAAATGTATTTAAAAAGAAAGTTTTGCTCAAAACTGTGCTTCCCATAGTCTTCTATTACCTGTTCTGTCAAAAGGAACCCTACCTCATGGTGATGATATTATACCTCATAAAGCCGTCTTCTAATAAAGGAAGAAGTGCTAAAAGTTAGGCCACTAATCGTCTATCTCATTAACTCCATTTTGGTGGAGGGTGTAAGGAGATCTGGGGTGGAATTTGAGAAGTTTTTATCACTTCGAAGGGGAGGAATATGAGTAAAAAGTGTAACTTGTACTTGCACCTTTGAGAGTTTAAGGCTTATATGGCAACTTGTTTCTCCTGCTGACTCTAGTCAAGCCAATGTAACCAACATGGTCACCTGTAGTAAACATATGTGTAAAATGAGTTATATAATTGAGTCTTCATTATCTTGGACATACTGGCCACCATTATTGCTTGGAAAGGAGCCCAGAATACCCTGGACTGGAAAAGGCTAATTTTTCTCATACTAATGTAAAGATTGCAACCAAGGTAAGCAGGCTGCTGTTATCCTGTCCTAGGAGGCTAGCCTGTTGTTTGTAAAATACCTCCTCTTTGTGTCTTCTACCTTTCTGCTGAATGCAGAATATACCCTTTGTATTCTCTTTGTAGTTTAATTTATATTATAAAAAGATCATGTTGGATACTCTTCAAGGGGAATAGAACTGTAACGAAATATGTGACAACATTAGAAAGTAAATTAAATTCTCATTAAGAGACTTAAATTGCAAATGAGTGCAGTCCTTCTCAGGGACCCTGCATGATTTGTCATCACTAATGAGCTTTTATTGGCGTGCTCGTCCTTCTCTCTTGCTCCTACCCTGCACTAGTCAGGAGATGCATTCCAGTTTCTGAGTGGCAATTGTGGCTGCTGGCTTCTTCCTCGTTCTTCTGGCCATAGTATACACCAATTCTCAGGAAAGATTAATTTTCTCTTTCATTGTAGGGCAGCACTGTCTAAAAGCAGGGTTACTTTATTTACAAAATAAATTGCAATATTTGTTGAGACTCAGGAGTAAAAAGCAACCCCTGGAAAGACTGTTTAATACTGTGGCTGATTAGAGCTTGTGAATACTTGACCTCAATACTTTGATACACCAGTACATTCACCAAAAGCTGAACTAATGAATGTGCTTAATTTGATTTCTTTTGTAAGTAAAGAAATTGTGGTGCTTGTTGATACGAAGTTGGCCTCCTGTTGCTTTTTTAACTGGTAGTAAAAATAGATGGCTCCTTATTCATCTCTGCTTTTGCAATAATCTTGTCCTCTCTGCAATCAACAGAATGATTTTTAGATATGTAAGTGCTGTTAATCAAAGTGTGAAACTGTTGGCCACAGAAAAGAAAAGAGAAAAAATGAGAGAGAACAAATGTGTCAGCCAAATGAGAAAGAAATGCCTAGTTGGGCAGAAAGTTTTAATGGAAGTAAATAAATACAGGGAAAATCAAGCAAGAGACTACTTTTTCTACTGCCCTGTACACCTGTGGTAATTGCAATAGTCCACAGTTGACTAAAAAGATAAAAGTAAATGTCTGCCAGAAAGTTAGGTCCTTTGGATTGAGGATGAAAAATGGCCTTTAGGGGAGTACAGAAAGTTCTTCAAATGTTGTTCTGTCCTGAATACCAAACAGGCACTCTGGACAGATTTTGTTCAGAAGTGCTGAGAAAAGGTGATGTTGGCTGATGCCAACATAGCTATCTGGGAAGACAGTGCTTACTAATGAGTGGTTCACCTGAACTAATGTTGCCCATAATGTTTTCCTGCCTTGAGCTGCGGTTGGGGAAGGTGAAGATACCAAAATTCAAATTCATACATTTAAAAATTTAATGTTTTCCTTGCCGTTATACAGGTCTGTGTTCAGAACAAAATTCTTCTCATTAATCCTTCATGACCTGTACTTTGGCATTGCTACCTTTTATATTTTAAAATGCCTCAATAATATCATGGAGTTTTATTATTCCCATTTATGGATAGAATTCTCTAGGGCATAAACTGCTTCAAATGAACTTACTTGGGCTTGAAAATAAATTACTATTTATTAGAACTCATTTTCCTTTAGGGCTTTTTTTCTAAAGTTGTCACATTTTATACTTAAATTTATTTCACTTGTAGCAATTATACAGTGTGCCTTATGTCTGAGGACACGCTAACTCACCATTTAACACATTTATAGGTCAATTGATATTATTTAAATCTCTAAGCCAGGAACAGACATCCTGACTACCTAAGTTATTTAAGGGATTCATGGGGGATGAAGACAAAGATGTTTTTATTACTCTTTGCTTTTTCAGTTAATACAGTTATTGCTTTAATTATTTAAAATACTAAGCAGTAACATCTGCTATCTTTTGATTAATACTATAGAAATTGGCAATGCTTCTTGGTCCTTGAGTTGTGTTCATTATGTAAATAAAAATAATTTTTGATAAAAATGTCCTGGAAGTAAAAATGAATTAGAGAACATTTTGCTCTTATTTCTTAGTAAACTGTGAATCATTTAGTGCATGGTTTAATTCAGGAATTAAAAAAACTATTTGTAGAGGTATGAGTTTATAGGTAAAAATTTTTCAGTTGCTGGGAAATCAGATTCTCCTCTTTGTGTCTATTTATTTGGTGGTTCTTTATATGCATTTAAATCTGGATAATGGATGGAGAATTTGATTACACAGTAAAAATACCAGTTTGTAAAAAGTAAACATGCCTGGGATAATTTTGTCTTTAAGGCAGTATACCTCTTCTAATGATGCTGGTGTTGATGATAAATATCCCTACCTATTTATAATCATCGATCTATTGTGTATCTATATTGAATTCTGTTTTAAAATTATCTTTTGAGCCAGGTCACATGCCACACAAAAAAATTAATCTTATTACATTGTAGGCATACCTTGGTTTTTATCCCAAATAGTTAATGTTTTTTTTTCTTGAGGCTTGTTTCCAAATGATTTGGCTGTTGTAAAATATTACATTTGCTTTCAGAATGAGTGAAGCCACTGGAAAATTAAAAGAGAATTTCAAATGTATTCTCATCATGGTCTCATGAATAGCATACCAAATTACCATGAGGAAGGACACAGCAATGATCCAGGGTATTGAGTTTTCTAAGTCTCATTACTAAAGATTCACAATTCAGATTTATTTTTCTGGAGCTAAAGAGAAACTGATTTCCAGAGATTTTCTTTTGACTATTGAAACAACAACCTTGAATGAAAGCAATATTTTGGAATTTAAAAAACACAAATGGCTCTTATGAAGAAATAAAAGAAAATGTTTTTTAATGTACTACTTTATTTCCTTTGTATGTTCCCTTTGGAATCTTCTGAGAGACCATCTGAGTGGTGATGATGCTGAGAAGGGTACAGGGATGGATAGAGCCCAGAGGCCCTATGTACTTTAAAGAGACAGAATAGTGTCTCCTCTACACTTAGTCTCATGCAAAAACGTTACTAAACTGTAAAGTGTGTGTAAGAAAGTCTGAGTTCTGATTTCTTCAAGATAATAATTTTAGTAAAAATATATTAAAATGTCAAATTATTTTCAGTCCTTTTTTCTCATATTTTTTGATGCTTCTGGTTTGCTGTCATCCTCAGATTTTTCTGCTTGTTGCCACGGCTTTAGGAAAGGAGTTTGGGCAAAGATAAGGTGAACTTACAGTGTCTGCTCAAAGATCCCTCATGTCCAGAAACAGAATAAATACATGTGGACCTGGGAGGAAACTAATTATTTCTTTAGAATTGAAAAAGAGCAAAGTGCCTGAACGTGCATTATTTTTAAAGTATCTTGTGAGATTTTTAAAGAATACTGAATGGTTGGCAATATATAACAAATTCATCAAAAATTTAGTATTGCATAATGGTTTTCTGCTCAAACAGTGAAATACTCTTTGGGGAGTGGCTTCAGAGGGATATTGGCTTCTGCTTTTTCCTTTCACAATTCAGAATGTAAAATGCTTAAAGGTGTTACAAATACTTGGATTAAACCTAACTAATAATCCCAGAGTAATCAATACCAACATTTCTATAACTTTTACATTTGCTGTCAAAGAAGGGATTATCACTGCACAGAGTAAATTGCATGACATTTATAAAATATTTAAAAGGAATGGTGTTTGCTGATCTGGAGCTCTATGCACATATTTAAAAAGCAAACATAAAGGTCTATAAAATAAAAAAAAACCCCAAAAGATACAAGTGCACATCCCCCAGGTAACTGTGAAAAAACATGACCACCAAAAGTGTTAGTTTTCAGAATAATAAATGGTCAAAAGAACTTGACCATATGTCAGAGTTGCATTTCTCAAAGTGTGCTGGACACTTAGTGCCCCTGGAAATATTTGAGGAATCCTAACCCAATATGCTGGTTTCAGAGAAAAAACAATCATTAAACATGTTAAACATTCATTTAAAATTTGAAATATAAAATTACGTATAATTTCACAGAAATTCTTAAATATTTTAAATTATTTTCAAACAGTGGCTATGCATTAATTTTTTTTACATGAGATAATATGTTAGCTGGGTTGAAGTTGGCTAATGTATTTTCATATTCTTTGTATATCAATGTTTTTGTTTGCCAATTTTTTAGTGTTTTGTCATACTATTGTGCTAACACTATAGCCATGATTCACAAACATGTCAAAATGGCTCAAAAGGAATCCTTAAAGCACCAAAGAATGAATGCAAATTGTATTCTAAATACTACAACTCAGAATAATTTTTATACTGTAAGTAATGAACAGACCTCTTGCAAACTTAGATGTGACTCTTTCTTTAGAATCACATGCAATGTGAATGTTCTAGTATGTTATTTTTTGCAAAAACATCAAAAAGGAAAAGATAAAGTACTTAATAAAATCACACATGCTTGCATATTAGATTTTATTAACAGGCAATCTACTTGTCTTGAGTCCTGAGAACGTTGTATAAAACTTAGTTACAAAGAAAGTCTCATAAGTCATTAACACTTTGCATTAGAAAACTCAGTGAATTTTTTGGTAAACTCGAATTAACTTTTCTCCCAGAGCAAGTGCAAAATCTATGTTTTCTGTCTTAGACCTAAGCTCTTCTGGCATCATTCAAAGTTTAACTCTTTGCATAAACACAGTTACAAGTTATACTATTTTCAAGAAGATTATAAACATATTTTCAAGAAGATTATAAACATATTTTCAAGAAGATTACAAATATAGCTACCAATAAATAAAATGGCATTTCTTTTTAGAGAGAAAGTAAAATGAACTTCTGGCTAGTTAGATAGCATATGTCTGTGTAATCACATCTTCTAGTTAGATGTTTTACATCTAAGTTGCACAAAATTAGTAATGTGCAAAATATGATTTAGTTCCTGGCATATGAAGGAAAAGAACTTTGTGACTGCTCTTTGCATGTTACAGAAAAACAATGTAATAAATTGTGATGTAGACTTGAAAAAATTACCATTGGGATTAGAATTGATGGAGTCTAAACACATATTTAGCAAGAAAGGGTATTGCTACAAAAATTAGGTTGCCAAACCATACTTGTATTTTCTCTTCAAAGACTGTAGTGACAAGACATGAGCAAACGGTTACAGCTTATTTTGGGGAATATATTTTTAAGCTGATCAACCTAAAAAAAAGACATGATTAGCCCTGGTAATATAAATGCCTGAATGGATTTTTTCTCACAAATTTTATTATTTTTCTACCAACACATAGAGGAAATGATGTGCTAAGAATAATATATTTCATGAACACTATTTGAAGGTCAATTTGGATTCACCCAAAGACAAATGGATTTTATGAGTCATTTTTTTCACCTTACCTTATACTTTGGAATCATCATTAAAAATTGGGGTTGGCCAGGCAAGGTGGCTCATGCCTATAATCCCAGCATTTTGGAGGCCGAGGCAGGTGGATCACTGAGGTCAGGAGTTTGAGACCAGCCTGGCCAACATGGAGAAACCCCGTCTCTATTAAAAATACAAAAATTAGTCAGGCCTAGTGGCACATGCCTGTAATCCCAACTACTCGGGAGCCTGAGGCAGGAGAATTGATTGAACCTGGGAGGTGGAGGTTGCAGTGAGCCGAGATCATGCCACAGCACAGAGTGAGACTCTATCTCAAAAAAAAAAGTGGGGTCATGTTGTGAGCCATGATGGCAGTTAAGGTATACAGTAACAGTGCTGGAAGCAAAATGGGGGTCACACATCTTCAAAAAGCCATATGAGACAGAAGCAGGTGTCATTCAACAATATGTTTCTTGCTGATGATTCATTTGGGAAACACATAGTGAAAATAGTGTGTCTGAGTAAACTATACTCCCTGAGTAGATGCATGTTTATGGAAGAGTGACTAGTGAGAACATGGCTATTTTCCACATAGAGGAACAGTGACAAGGGGCAGGATGTTCATATGAGTTTATGAATTAGCAGATGATGGCTGATTTGTGCAACTCTATGCCATCAGCCTTTACCACTATGTGTTGGAGTGACTTCAGTAAACACATACACACAGGAGCCATAGTATAATTATGTTTTTGCCAAGGACACCAGAATTTAATTTTAGAGGTAAATACAGGTTTATAATGTTTTAAAAACAAGAGAAATTTGGAGAGAAATGTCTAGATTCAGTCTGCAGTTGTGAGAAAAATTAATTACCAAGTCAAAGGAGAGCCTGCTTTCAAATCTTGTTACAGAAAGAAAAACAGATCATATTAAGACTTCATTTCTACTCAGCACTATATTCTTTTTGTGGGGTTTGTAGAACAATGGAGATATTATATATTACCTTGATGCTTTCTCAGTTATTTGTGAGTTTTTTCACTTGGTTAGAAAAATAATTAATATGCAACATTATGGTGATCTGATGAGAAAGTAATATAAAAATATATTCATTCAGGCAATAATAAAAATATTTCTAACTTTTTGTATTTTACTACTAAATACATTTTTTGCTAATACTTAGAATTAGCTTTCTTGGGTATAAATGAGGAAGCTGCATGGTGTGAGACTCTTAACCAAAACTGCATATCCCATTCCTCCTTGAGCCTCACTCTGGGAATCCTAATATGGTAGCTTTAGCATAGGACGTGGGCAGGTATGCACTGAAAAAATTTCAGTAAGATCTGTTATCAGTTATGAATCACTAAATAAAATGTTTCTAAAATTTATTATCACTCTATTACTATACACTTCTCACCTTCAGAACAGATACAATTGTGTAACTTCTCATCTTTTTCTGCTGGTAATATTTTCAAACATATTCTTGCTTCCTGAATCTCCCTTCAATTTTTTCATCTATTTATCTATTCCTTCTACTTCTAATTAAATTACATGTTTATTTATAGCCATATATATATGAAAAGAACTTATATAATAAGCATGTGTGCATTTACTTCTGTATACATATGCATCTGTGTATAAAGCACACACATGTATACATATACATATACAAGAAGTCTTGCTTATGTCATCCATATTTTCATATGACTTGTCCTTTGTTCTCTCAGACAAAAATGTCAAAGGAGAATGATTATATGTTATGCTAAGGCTGCTGCGGAATGTACTGAAGTATTCTAAGGGACTACTAGGGAAATGAAACCATTCAAGGATATTTTCAATACTGAAAATAGTATCTGTGTCTAGGCTTAAGTAATGTGTACCTAAATTGAAATATACTATCTTTATCAATATCATTGTTACAATATTTTTCAACTGCCAGATGTAATAATATTATTCTTTCTTATTTTATGAATGTATTATAAAACTCTCATTATTTTTAATATTTACACCATCCACTATTGGTGTGTTTTTTGAGTGAGGAATCATGCTTTTCCCAAATAATCTAGGATTCTAAAAATTGTGAAAATATTCTACAAGTAAACATACAACTTTACTTCTTTAATTTACTAGTGGTTGCTCAGTTTTTTACCTATAAATTTAAATGCATAAATCACTCATTTTAGTACTGTAGTAAAGCAGCTTAATAATGGTATGACCAG
This sequence comes from Homo sapiens, assembly GCF_000001405.40. Classification (NCBI taxonomy): domain Eukaryota; kingdom Metazoa; phylum Chordata; class Mammalia; order Primates; family Hominidae; genus Homo; species Homo sapiens. The sequence continues at coordinate 99,312,427 of NC_000005.10, forward strand.
ATATTTTTCATACAAAGCATCAAGGATCTTAAGAGTAGTCTGCACTTTCCACCTTCTTCTTTGGGTATGTTCATATGCCCCCAGGAATGTTAAGCATTTTTAAACCATTCTCCCTTATACAATTTCATTCCAATAATCTCTTAAATGTGGGTCTTGTGGAGTAGTAAACTGCAGTGCAGTTTTATCAGATATCTTAATGACACCACAATCCCTGATAATTTTGTTCCTCATATCCTTCTTGGAATCTCTGAATAAGAGGGAGAGAAATTAGAATAATTCAAACCATCCTCTTTTCATATCATTAAACAACTGCAGTCTTCATAAAGTCTTAGATGACAATGTGAGAATGAGAGAAAATGACAATTACGTGCGACTTACAGGATATAAAAACAACTTGAATTATTACATCTTTCTGATGAGATGCAGAATTTCTACTTTCAGACATATCTGGCCTTTTAAAAGGATAAGTAAAATGTTAGATTTAAAAATAATATTTAAAGCGTTAATTCATTTTGCTGAGAATCTAATATAAATACTATTTTAGGATGATAGCCTTTTTATTTGATTATGAATAAAACTAGCTTTTATTTCATCTTAACTTAATCTCCCTCAGAATTATGTTCAAGGATAGTCAAATATCACCAGGCATATCCAGCTCATTTGTGTTCCCTACCTTGTTTAAATAATCAATTTTAGAAATATTTTAAAAGACTGCTTCAAGCCTGTGAACTCATTTTTAGTGATTTATGATGCTAGAAATGTTGATATTTCTATTCAGTGTTTCACCTCTTCATGCATCACTGAGGTTGTTTGAGTTATATAAATCCTCATCATTGATAGTTGAAACACTATGAAATCAGTGAAGTGTTTCTACTATCTCTTTTCCGTTCTCTTACTATTATTAATAGCTTTGTTCTCCAATGAGATCAAAATGGTGTGTGTTGGACCATGTTAAAGAACCTTTTTCACCGTCATGTGTTTTTACCTTAATGAGTGGATGATGAAATGATTCCAGTCTGACTATCTGGATTTGAGTCCTAGCTCTCCCAGTTTCTCACTATGTGATATTGAACAAGCATTTCCACCTCTTTGTTCTTTGATCTAGAATAATAAGATAAGTAGTGTTACTAGTCTCATAGAGATTGTTAGGTTTAAATGAATCATTATGTGTAGAGGTTGTAGAATGGTACGTGACATAGATCTCAATAATATACAACTACATTATATGTTCTCTTTTAAAATGATTTCAGAAAATCAGTTATGTTTCTGTATTCAACAACTTTAGGAATGACTTAATATGTTGTCAGTACATTAAAGAATGTCTTAGTATGTTGTCACACTGGGTAGAACTGGAATGCAACACCCATAGTCATTACAGTGCTAAGATGTATAAGAGAATTAATCAGGGGCACAGACAACAAAATAATCACCGAGTATTTTGATAAATGTTCTAATGGGGAAGGTATGAGGTGCTCATTGAGGCTAATTATCCTGAATTTGAGCATTAAGGGAGAGTTTCCTGGAGGAAATTGGGCAGATTGAAAACTACTCAGTATTTTTGTTCCAAATGATCCAGTGATAACATTTTTGAATAATTGTTAATATATTTAGTAAAATCCTTCATGACACTTTTTGGATGGTGAATCTCTTCCGGACTCCTGGAAAAATGCAGTTTTTGATCTAATGCCATCAGATTGCATTTCCCCTACCCATTATTGTTGCAGTTATCAACCAGCAACTGGGTTACTCTCCAATTTCTTGAAGATTTTTATTCTTAACTCATTCTTTCCATATTTGACTCATTTCTATTATGACTTGGTGATTTTACATTCATCTATTCTATACTGGCCTCTGTAGGCTTTGTCATTGCCAACACAAAGCCTGAATAATCTCAATCTCAAATTTTCTGGTTTGCGACCACCACAATCTGTCTTTCTAGCTCACTTCCTCTAGGGCTTTGAACCAAACGTTCTTTAACCCCACCAGGATTACAATCTGTCTTTTTATCTTTTTGTTTTTCCTCTCTGTTCTCATATCCTCAGTTACCCCCTTGTCCAAATTAACTTCCATGATCAACTATTATAATCATTTCCTTGCAAACACTTCAACTACTTTGCCCCCTCATTTTGTCATACTTATGTGGCAAAACCCCAACCTTAGTTAAATATCTCTCTCTATAAGTGGAGATAAACACGCATTCATACAGTTTTACTTAAAATTCATCACCATCAATTTACTGTGGTCCTTTAATTTAGTTATCTATTGATGTGTAAAAAATTACCCAAATATCTAGCAGTATAAAGCAACAAACATTAATTATGTTGCAGGTTATCATGGTCAAAAATCGGAGGGAAGTTTAGCTGACTGTATCTCACAATGTTTCAATGTGTTGGCCAGGGCTGCAGTCTTCTGAGGCTTCAGTGGGGATGATCTATTTCTAAGCTCATGATTGTTCACAGGCTTCACTGGCTTTTGGTGAAAGACATTGGTTTCTTGCCATGCGCAATCCTTCAAGAGCAGCTTATAACATGACAGCTTGTTATGAGATCTTTAAGTAAGTGTAAGGGGGAAGAGAAACAGAGTGAGAGAGAAGAACACAGGGAAGGGGAGAGGAATAGAGAAATTGAAGTTATGGTTCTTTTATAACCTAATTTTAGAAGTGACATCCCCTTATTTTTGCCATATTCTATTTATGAGAAGTGTCACTAGGTCCTGCCCTCACTCAAGGGAAAGGGGTATTGAAACACATGAACATCAGGAGGCAGGGATCATTGGCAGATAGATACCTCAGAGGCTGTCTCTTACATTTTTATCTTCTCAGACTTCCCAAACCTCCCTTTTCCATCCTCACTCTCACCTGATAATTTTTATTTCTGTGGTATAAAAAACAAAAGACCACCATGGGCTGCCACCACAATATCTACCTACTTTTATGTTGTGCCAATACTTTCTTGCTTCTTCTTGTTCTCTGGATGTGTTGTCTTTGCACACCTAACCTAAAGCCAACCTCAAACTTGTGCAACAGAGCACATGCCCTTTTGCATACTTAAGGATTTGCTACAATAATTTTCCCCCTTTTTCTGCAGCATAAAATTTTTTTTGGTTGGATTATTCACATCAGCTTATAATTTCTTACATCTTCAAAAGTCTCTCTTGATTACACAAGCCTTATAGCCACTTTCCCATTTCTGTCTACTTACAAAATGTGTTTCAATTCCTTATTCTAATTCCTCTTTTTCTATATCCTCTACAATGATTATATTGCACCAGGATATTGAAACTGTGCTTATCTCTTTGGAGTTTTTCTTTCTTTTCAGTGCTATTCTTTGTAGCTGAAATTATGTTGTTATAATCCTTCATACAGAATAGATAAAGCAAATGGATGTGGGAAGATTCAAAAATTTCAAAATAACCAAGAGATCTAAGGTGTATAATCTTTCATCAGTGGGTATGGTTCCTGTAAAATAGCAAGTTCAGTTCCTAAATTGGAACATTTTCAGTTTACCAGTGACAGAATATTTGTTGGGTAGCAATCAAACTGCCTAGTGGTAAATGTATTCTTTGTGTTCCGTGATGTAATGACCACTTCCTCTTTGAAAATTTTCTTATCCTCTTACTTCCGAAATATATTTAAATTTAAAAGATGAAATAAGTTGTGAAAAATTATAACCCTTTGCATCCTGGAGTGACAAATGCATTTATTCTTAAATAAAACTCTCTTATTCCTGGTGCTGCTAAATAATACATACATAAAACACCCACATCCCATTTCCCCCCCATATTGTGTTTACCTGGGATTTTCTGGAAGTCATTTGAAGCTGAGAATTGGTCTGCTATGTTTTATTTTTTTGTTTTGAAGAGAATGAGTTTATTAGAAGAAATATCACTCAGCTTTAGAACAATGCTATAAAATATCATTTTCATTAGTTTAATCACAGAATCTGTTTAAGCTTCATGACAAACACTAGTAAAGACATGGTTCTAAGGATAAAAGTGTTTAGGGTCTTATAACCTGGACATCCAAATCCAAGTGAAATCTGACCCCAAGGCTCAACACAAAGCTTCCAGAAGGTATGCTATGTTTTAAAAATGTTCTGATGGTTTCAGTTCTCGCAGGACCAAGGGAGTCTTTTCTATGGGTCAGGCTGATGCTATTCAGTCAATATGCATGACCTCCTTGAATTTATATGCCCCAAATGTCTGTATAAATCATCATTTAAATAGAGTTCCAAGGCAACAAAGGCAATTCCCATTACAGTCCTAGCTGTTAAATTTGGATACTAACAGTATAAGTTTAGATTTATTACCTCCTATAAAATCACAGCATTGTTATTGCTTGACTTGCAATAACTCCTTTATTTCTTAAAGGAACACCCTACTCCTGAAGGAGTAAAATAGACCCTCAAAAGGGATGTTACTAACACATACAATGATCCTCATTTTATAGCATTCCTCCATGCCAAATGATACTTCTCTAGAATTCTGAGCCCTCACTGCAGTGTTTTCAATCCTGACCCATATGCTATGGTTTGTGTTACAGAGCTGTTCAAGATTGCTGAGCTTTTGCTATTAAGAATTAAATCATTTTTAAAGGCCCAGGAGGATCTGTTCTCCACTGAGAGAAATACACATTTGAGAGAAAATCAAAATGTACAACAACATGGCAAATAGTTGTAAAAAAATGAGCAGGACTGTCTGAAATCTACCACCATTGACAATGTCCCTTTAATTAACCCCTGGCGACTAGTAACTTTTTTTTTTTCATCTTGAAGGCATAGTCTGTATTTTCAGTGGAGTTCCCCAAAACACAAGGAGGATTTGTTTACTGCACGATGACTCCAGATAAATGCACTTGTCTTGGTGCTTTTGTGAATATCAATTTACTCAGAAATGGCTTCTACCGTCAACTGCCCTATTAAATCAACGGCCCTGCTACAAGGCAGGAAGTAATGAGTCATAAAGAATAAAGAAAAGACTATATCCTAAAGTGGTGTGCAGTGAAAGATCTAGGGAAAATGGCTGTTAATTTTGAGCAGGGCCTTCAAAGATATATTTGATTTGAGTATGTGACTAGAGGGATGGGAAAGTGAGGGAGGACACTGCAGACATAGAATAATGCCCCCCAAAAGCACAGGAGATACTAAGGTATAAAAAGTCATGCTTGGGACTACAGATCCATGCATACCAATTTATCCTACCAAAAACGTATGAAAATATTTTTAATTGAATTTTAAAATAAAAACCTCATTATTGTTTTTTAAAAAAGGCATGCTTTTTTAAGGCATGAAATTTACTAGTCAGATTGTAGGTGGAAGAAATAAAGTAGTACAAGACAATCTTGAAAAGATGAGCTTGTAGCCACATTTGATCAGGCCCCGAATTCCAGACTGAAAGTTTCAACTTTACTCTGTGAGCATCGGGGCATTTGCAATTTCTTCAATTCCTTGACCCTTGCTTTTCCCAGCTTCCCAAGGCAGCATTAATTGATAGGCATAACTGTGATCTAGACTCAACCCTGCTCAGAGCAGGAGGTATACCAGCACTCTGTTATCACGATTCGCTAGGACTTGGAATCACATTGTGTCGCCAGCTAGATCTATAATCTGGCATGATATGTAGGTTCTTGGGCCCACGAAACCGCTGAGCTGTTGCAATTTCTGTCTTGCCATGTTGGGCTGGTGAAGCTGCAAAGAGAGTGGTGGAAAAAGCTTCATATGAAAGTCTTTTCAGTTATCTGGGTAAATATCTCGCTTTCCAATTAACACTGACACTCTCCTGGATTGCAACATACTCTTCTGCTATCCTTTTCACCCCGACCCCTCACCTCCCGCCTTTTTTTCCCAACTTTTATTTTCGGTTCAAAGGACATATGTGCAGGTTTGTTATATTGGTAAATTGTGTGTCACTGAAGTTTGGTGTACAAATGATCTCAGCACCCATATAGTGAACATAGTACCCAAGAGGCAGTTTTTCAGGCTTCAAGACCCTACAATCCTCCCGCTCTTAGTAGTCCCCAGCGCCCAGTGTCTATTGCTCCTGTCTTTATGTCCGTATGTACAGAATGTTTAGCTCTACGTATAAGTAAGAACATGTGGTATTTGGTTTTCTGTTCTTGCATTAGGTCACTTAGGATAATGGCCTCTAGCCATAACCATGTTGCTGTAAGGGACATGATTTCATTCTTTTTTTAAATTTGTCCATTAGATTGATTTAAACATCTACCATGTAAACATGTATCAAAACACCGGATAGTACTCCAGAAATATGTAATACATACAATTATCATTTGTCAATCGAAAATTAAGACTATTGAAAAATAAAAAATAAAATTAAAATGTCATTTTTGACATATAACATTCAGAAAAATTCATATCATATATTAATTTTCACAATTTTAACACATCTGAGTAACCAGCACCAAATTAAGACTCAATATATCACCAGTCTCTGAAACCTCTCCTGTGCATCCTTCCATTCACTATTCCCCCAATGCTAATAGCATTGATTAGTTTGCTTGCTTTTGTCCTCTACACATCTAGAATTATACAGTGTGGAGTCATTTGTGTCTAATTTCTTTCACTCAATGTTATGTTAATGAGATTCATTCAGATGTTTGCAGTAAACTCCTTTTTAAACTTTTATTTTAAATTCTGGGGTACATGTGCAGGTTTGTTATATAGGTAAACTTGTGTCATGGATGTTTGTTGTACAGATTATTTCATCGCCCAGATATTAAGCCTAGTAACCATTAGTTATTTTTCCTAATCCTCTCCCTCCTCCCACCCTCCACCCTCCAATAGGCTCTAGTGTGTGTTGTTTCCCTCTACGTGTCCATGTGTTCTCATCATTTAGCTCCTAATTAATGTGTAGTATTTGTTTTTCTGCTCCTGCATTAGTTTGCTAAGGATAATTGCCTCCAGTTTCATCCACATTCCTGTGAAAGACATGACTGCATTCTTTTTTATGGCTGTATAGTATTTCATGGTGTATATGTACCACATTTTCTGTATCCAGCCTATCATTGATGGGCATTTGGGTTGACTCCATGTCTTTGCTATTGCAAATAGTGCTGCAATGAGCATATGTGTGCATGTGTCTTTATAATAGAATGGTTTATATTCCTTTGGGTATATACTCAGTAATGGATTGTTGACTTGAATGGTATTTCTGTCTTTTGATCTTTGAGGAATCGCCACACTGTCACAATGGTTGAACTAATTTATGCTCCCACCAACAGTGTATGAGTGTTTCTTTTTCTTCACAACCTTGCCAGCATCTGTCATTTTTTGACTTTTAATAATAGCCATTCTGACTGGTGCAAGATGATATCTCATTGCCGTTTTGATTTGCACTTCTCTAATGATTAGTGATGTTGAGCTTTTTTTTTCATAGGATTGTTGGCTGCATGTATGTCTTCTTTTGAAAAGTGTCTGTTCATGTCCTTTGGCCACGTTTTAATGTTTTTTTTTCCTTGTAAATTTGTTTAAGTTTCTTATAGATGCTGAATATTACACCCTTGCCAGATGCATAGTTTGCAAAAATTTTCTCCCATTTGTAGGTTGTCTGTTTACTCTGTTGATAGTCTCTTTTGCTGTGCAGAAGATCTTTAGTTTAATTAGATCCCATTTGTCAATTTTTCCTTTTTTGCAGTTGCTTTTGGCATCCTTGTCATGAAATCTTTGCCTGTTCCTATGTCCTGAATGGTATTGCCTATGTTGTCTTCCAGGGTTTTTATAGTTTTGGGTTTTAAATTTAAGTCTTTAATACATCTTGAGTTGATTTTTGTATATGGTGTAAGGAAGGGGGTCCAGTTTCAATCTTCTGTATATGGCTAGTCAGCTGTCCCAGCACCATTTATTAAATAGGGAATCCCTTCCCCATTGCTTGATTTTGTCAGGTTTGTTGAAGATCAGATAGCTATAGGTGTGTGGTCTTATTTCTGGGTTCTGTATTCTGTTACATTGGTCTATATGTCTGTTTTTGTACCACTTTTCTTATATCCTTAAACCCTCCTGAATGCTTGTAAGTCCCTTTTGGGGAGACGTAGGCCATTATATCCTGAACTTCTGGTAACAGGCCGGTGTTCTGCCAAAGAAGGAATTTGTGGAAGTCTTACTGCATTTTCTCCCACATAATTCTTCTCTTTTGGTCAGATTAAACTCCCTGCTACTGCAGCCTCTTAAAAAAATCCACCTAAGCCTTGCTTAAGATTGCCATCTGCTGGCATTTTGCCTGAGACTTCGCAGATACCCAGCCTATGGGCAATTGTTATAACTGCTTCTCCCAGTTCCAGATTTTGCTCTCTCTTTGCCAGCCTATGATTATGTGGTCCCAGCATGCATCACGCTAAAAGGGGATAGGCAAATCTGATCTGCATATGTGCTTATAACACGGTATGTATAAATCATTTTAAATAAAAATGTTTTAAGGTTACTATTGAGAAATTCTAGGCATGCAAGTGGCAAAGATACACATAAGCAAAATAAACATATTTACAATCTGAGAAAAGAGAATAGTTCTGGGAAAGAAGTAGCACCTCAAAATTGTCAACTACAAGTAATATATATTCTACTCAGATTTACCTAGCCCATTAAGAAATCATTTTTTATGTTATAGGCAAATGTGAAGAATTATGGGTAAGATAGCTTTTACATCAAAGATAATTTACCTTGCTTGGCAGGTTTTCTGAAATACATGAGTCTACTGTTTGTATCGCTCTGAAAATTTTTTTTCTAACTATTTTATAGTAAATTCACGTAATACAATCATGGGCTTTAAAAAATCCAATTCGAATGTTTCAATTCATGGCAATGATTGTTCTTCAAAATCTTATTGAGCAATTTCTGTACAAATGATCAGTTCAAGTAAAAATTTCATATGAAAAAAATTACCTTTATAGGAACCTCATTCATAAGATGTTAAAGGTACCTAGATATTCTTTACCTTTTTATGGGCATTCTCCAGATTATTAGATAATCATCTGTCTTTAACATTCCTCTAAAATTGAGATAATTGCATCTTATGGGGTCTTTTGAGTAAATAAGGAAAACACATACAAAATTTTGCATAGCTTTATCAGAAATAGGTTAAGCTCAAGCTGAAAAACAGTTTATGCTTTGTTATATAGCCTTTATTACTACCTCCAATAAATAAGCTATTACAATGCCACATCACTAGAAGAGTGTCAACTATATCTGATTCCAAGTCACTGAAATGTCTCATTATTAATTAGCTTGCAGTATAGCACAGGAAGAATAACGCATTTTTATCTAGACAAATTTAGAGCATATGTTTTGGCTGACCAACTACATTCCAATGTACAGTGCACCACTGTCATTTTTAGGCATTTACTTTCTCACTAGCACAATAGCTATACAGGAGAGTAAGTACTGATAATAGCTGTGTGAATACAGCCTTATGATGATGGTCTACCAAATAGTGGACTCATAAAATTTGGGGCGCATGAGAATCATAGTAGTTCGCAACTCATGAGTCTTGAGTGAATAACAATTTATTAAAAAGTAATAAAAGAAATACATTAAAATGCTATGTAAAAGACATTTTTAAGACATTAAACTATGTTATATACCAGTGTCTCCTAAAGCCTTTTTATAATTTAAAGATGATACACGTTTGTTTGTGATGCAGTCCTCTGTCTTTTTTTAAATTGCAATTTGAGATAGTGTTTTGCTAATTATGCTTTTAATGTGTTTGCTATAGTCATGCAGCCAACAAAATTTAGAACCCATGGACGATTTCTTGGCATAATTTATTTATACTGGACATCCTCATTGGATAAATTTAATATTTATTTTGATCACTAATCTAATGCAATAGTGTCATGAAGGCATTTCATCTTTTTGCAAAATGAATAATATTTGCTTCAGTGCTTAACTTTATTTTTTTTTTTGAGATGGAGTCTCATTCTGTTGCCTAGGCTGGAATGCAGTGGCGAGATCTTGGCTCACTGCAACCTTTGTCTCCCGGGTTCAAGCAATTCTCCTGCCTCAGCCTCCCGAGTATCTGGGATTACAGGCACGTACCACCACAGCCAGCTAATTTTTGTATTTTTAGTAGAGATGAGGTTTTGCCATGTTAGCCAGACAGGTCTCAAACTCCTGACCTCAGTTGATCTGCCCACCTTGGCCAACATTTTTTTTTAATCTCTCTGAAAATAACAATGCATGTAATAAAAATTTTTAAGCAGTACTATGAAAAATGTGCCCATCTCTCTCTCAAGTTTCATCTACTCCCCAGGAGTTACCTTGTGTACCCTTCCAGAATTTTTCCAGGCATATATACAAGCATATGGATACATCTTATTTTATACCTGTGAGATAATACATATAAACTGTTCTGTCATTTGCTTTATCTCTTGGAGAATTTTCTAAATTAGAATAACAAATCTACCTTATTCTTTTTAATAGATGTATATAGTCTTCCTTTCTATGGATGTTCATATTTTATTAAACCTAGTTTTGAAAAACATTAATGTTGTTTACAGGTCCTTTTCCCCTCACTAATATAAATAATGCCGCAGAAATAATCTTGTACACATATATCTGAGTTATGCACAAATATGTTTTCAGGGTAAACACCTTGAAGTACAGTTAGTGAGTCAAAGGGTATGCAGTTTACATTTTGATAAATTCCTCTTCATAGATATAGTATCAATGCATATTCCCACCATTTATTCAAAACTGTAAAAAAATTTATTTTACATTTTTGTGTATTTTTTAATTTCATTACTATTGCTTTTGTTTATGAAATTTGCTGTCAATATATTTTCTAATATTTTTTCTACAGTCATCTTACTAAACTCTTCCAGTTTATTAGTTGATTCTTTTAGATCTTCCCATATAAAAAACTCTATCATCTAAAAATGGTGATGATTTTTACTCCTCTTGCACCTCTCCTATTTTTCTTTTAAAATTTTTATTATAGTGTGTAGAAGTACTTTAAAAAACTGAAACCATAAATTATGTGAAAATCAAATTAAGAATTTTTATCTGGGCTTTAAGGCAGACTCCATCTTATCAATATTTATGAAAAATTACAGTTGAATATCATATCCTTATTCTACTTCCACTGAAATCTATGCAAATATTTTCTAAATGAGACATTAAATTTTGGAATTGTGAGTATTGTGGAAAATATAAAGTAATGATCCTGACAAAAGCAAACAATGGGGAAAAGAGTCCCTATTCAATAAATGGTGCTGGGAGAACTGGTAGCCGTACGCAGAAGATTGAAACTGGATCTCTTCCTTACACCTTGTACAAAAATTAACTGAAGCTATCTTCAAGACTTAAATAGCAAACCTCAAACTAGAAAAAAACCTAGAAGAAAATCTAGGCAATACCATTCAGGACATAGACACAGGCAAAGATTTTATGATGAAATCACCAAAAACAATGGCAACAAAAAGAAAAATTGACAAATGGGATCTAATTACACTAAAGAGCTTCTGCACAGCAAACAAAATGATCATCAGAGCAAACTGACAATCTACAGACTGGGAGAAAAATTTTTCAATCTATTCATCTGACAAAGATCTAATATCCAGAATCTGCAAGGAACTTAAACAAATTTATGAGGAAAAAACAAACAACCCTATTAAAAGGTGGGCAAAGGATATGAACAGAAGCTTTTCAAAAAACACATACATGCAGCCAACAAACATATATTAAAAAAGCCCAACATCCCTGATCTTTAGAGAAATGCAAATCAAAATCACAATGAAATAACATCTCATGCCAGTCAGAATGGTGATTATTAAAAAGTCAAGAAACAACAGATGTTGGCAAGGTTGCAGAGAAATAGGAACGTTTTTACACTGTTGATGGGAATGTAAATTAGTTCAACAATTGTGGAAGACAATGTGGTGATTTAGAAATGGAAATACCATTTGACCCAGCAACTGCACTACTGGGTTTATACCCAAAGGAATATGAATCATTCTATTATAAAGATACATGCAAGCATATGTTCACTGCAGCACTATTCATAATAGCAAAGACATGGAATCAACTGAAATGTCCATCAATAACAGACTGGATAAAGAAAATGTCGTGCATATACACCATGGAATATTATGCAGTCATAAAAAGAAATGAGATAATGCCTTTTGCAGGGACATGGATGAAGTTGGAAGCCATTATCTTCAGTAAATTAATGCAGGAATAGAAAGCCAAACACTGCATGTTCTCAGTTATAAGTGGAAGCTGAACAACGAGAACACATGGGCACAGGGAGGGGAACAACAGTTACTGCAGCCTGCTGCGGGAGGGTGGGAGAGGGGAAAGATCATTAGGGAAAAGAGCTAGTGCATGCTGGGCTTAATACCTAGGTGATGGGTTGTTAGGTGCAGCAAACCAACGAGGCACATGTTTACCTATGTAACAAACCTGCACATCCTGCGCATGTACCCTCAAATTTAAACAAGAAAAAAATAAAATAATTAAAAAAAAAAACTTTTAGAAGTCTGGGGTTGGCATAAAAACAGATACATAGACCAATAGAACAGAACAGAAAATCTACAAATAAACCCAAGTATATATGGTCAACTAATTGTTAACATGGGCACCAAGAAAATACCATGGGAAAAGATAGCTGTTCAATAAATAGTGTTGGAAAACTTGAACATTTACATGCAAAAGAATGAAATTAGACTTTTAATTACATCATTCACAAGAAATTACCTCAAAATGGATTAAAGATCTAAATGTAAACCCTGAAACTATAAAACTTCCAGAAGAAAACGTAGAGGAAAAGCTCCCTGACATGGGTCTTGGCAAAATTTTTTGGATTTGACATCACAAGCACAGGCAACAAAAGCAAAAATGAGTAAGTGGGTCTACATCAAGCTCCAAGGCTTCTGCACTATAAAGGAAATAATCAATAAAATAAAAAAGCAGTCTACAGGTTGGGAGAAAATATTTGTGAATTATATATCTGATAAGGGTTTACTATCCAAAATAAATAAGGAACTCACACAAAACAATAGCAAAAAATCCAAAAGCCCAATTAAAAACTGGGCAAAAAATATGAATAGACATTTTTCCAAAGAAGACATACAAAGGCCAGTAGTTATATGAAAAACTGCTCGATATTACTAATTATCATGGAAGTGCAAATAAAAGCCACAATAAGTTGTCATCTCACACTTGTTACAAAAGATTTTATCAAAAAGACAAGAAATAACAAGTGTTGGTATGGGTGTGGAGAAATGGAACCCTTATTACACTGTTGGTGGAAATGTAGATCAGTGCAACCACTGTGGAAAATAGTATGGAAGCTCTTAAAGAAATTAATAATAGACTACCATATGACCGAGGAACGCTTCTTCTGGGTATATACCCAAAGAAATAAAATCAACACCGAGTAAAGATATGTGCATTCCCATGCTCATTGAAGTATTATTCACAATAGCTAAGATATTTAAACAACTAAAGTACTTGTGGACAAAAGAATGAATAAACAAATTGTGGAATATATACACAGTAGAATATTATTCAGTCTTAAAGATGAAGGAGATCCTGCCACTTGTGACAACATGGATGACCCTAGAGGACAGTAGGCTAAGTTAAATAACCCAGATGCAGAAAGAAAACTACTGCACTATCTCACCTGTATGTAGAATCTTAAATTTAAAAGAATAGGGAATACACAGAAATAGAGAGGAAACTGGTAGATACCAGGAATTGGGGGAAGAACAGGGAAATTAGAAGACGTAGGTTAAAGGGTACAAAGTTGAAGTTGCAGTTATGTAGCATGAATATGTCTAGAGATCTAATTTGCAACATGAGGACTATAGTTAAAAAATTATATTGTCTACTGGTAATTTGTCAAGAGAGTAGATTTTAGGCCCTCTTCCCCAAAAAAAAAAAAAGAAAGAAGGAAGGAAACTATGTGAGATGATGAGTATATGAATTTGCTTAACTGTAGTAATTACTATGTAAATGTATATCAAGATATCAATACATCATGTTGTACACCTTAAATATAATATAAACAACAAAAATAAATAAATTAATAATAAAAAGAAATAAAGTACATTGTTTAAGTTGCAAAAAAAGAAATATTTGGAATTCTTATAAAATACTATCTTAAATCATCTCTGATAGAGATGGAACTCCTAGTAGAAACATCACACTTTTAATAGCCATGTAATAAAAGTCTCTTAAAAATTCTAAAAGCAAAGAATTATCATTAAAAAAAGAAAAGAAAGCTTTAATATACAATTATCTAAAAATCCAGTGCTAGTTACTCTATGTGTTTCACTAGTGTTTTCCACATAGAGATTTTTAGTGTGAAGTTTAATCAATAGTTAGCTACAAACCAAATGCAAACTCTATAAGCTGAATTCAGAATTGAAAAAAAAACCTCTCAAATTTTAATGGTTTATTCTGTAATCCTTCATTTTTACCAAAAATATTGCCTTTATGAAAGTACGAAGGTAAATGAATTTTATACATGTAGTATTTAGTTATAACAGTCTTTCTTGAATGTTAAGTTCATTTTCAGTAGATCCAAGCAGGTAATTTAATTGCTCTGCATTTGAATTTTGCCATTTTCATGGCTAGAATATTAAATTTCTTTTTCTTTTTCTTTATTTCTTTTTTTTGAGACAGAGTCTGGCTCTGTCGCCCAGGCTAGAGTGCAGTGGAGCAATCTTGGCTCACTGCATCGTCTGCCTCCCGAGTTCAAGCGATTCTCGCCTCAGCCTCCTGAGTAGATGGGATTATAGGCATGCACCACCATGCCGGCTAATTTTTTTAATTTTTAGTAGAGATGGCGTTTCACCTTGTTGGCCAGGTTGGTCTCGAACTCCTGACCTCAGGTGATCCGCCTGCCTTGGCCTCCCAAACTGCTGGGATTACCGGCGTGAGCCACCGCACCCGGCCTAGAATATTAAATCCAAGTGATGCTTGAATGAAATATAATTGAAAGTTATGGTATTTGTTAGAAAGTACAAATTAATGTTATTCAAATTAAAGTTTTTCTGTTTCATCAATGTAAGTTTAAAGGGATAATTGCATGCTCAGAAGAAGTTAAAATTGCTGGACCCTGAGGCTCTTTAACCAACTTAGACTAGAAATGCTGCAATGCACATTTTACATGCTATTTTAATGCTTAATGTATAAAAAGATATAAAAATGCAAATATATGAGACCATATACTAGATATATTCAAAAGAGTTTCCATTTATTGGTCTAATAGCAATTACTTAGGAAATTGTTTACTTAAATACAATATTTACCTGACTTATCTGGTTGCATATCTTATTTGTCATCAATGAGAGCTCAAGGAGAAGAAAATTTCATTTAGAATTGTTCAGATTTGTCATATTGTAGATATATACTGTGTGCATGTGTGTGTAGCATTTTTTAAAAAGAGATAGCAAATATCTTCAAATTCAGAGTCAGACAGAAGTGGTTTTTTTGTACATAAAATCGGTGTGACTTCAGGAAAACTATCCAGCTTCTTGAAGCCTCAGTTTATCAGACATAAACTGGTTAACCGAGCCAAAATTC
Source organism: Homo sapiens (assembly GCF_000001405.40). Lineage (NCBI taxonomy): Eukaryota > Metazoa > Chordata > Mammalia > Primates > Hominidae > Homo > Homo sapiens. The sequence continues at coordinate 99,327,963 of NC_000005.10, forward strand.
CTCTTCTAGTGTTGTTATCAAAATTAAGAGGGATAATATTATTGCAAAACGGTGGGCATTGAACTCAAAATCTAGTGTTTTTAGTAATAGTAGTAATAACTGTAATTTTTAATTTGAACAATTGCTTGTCAATTACAATGCAGAAGGAAGTAGGAATATTTGCATACGAAGTCCAGTTCTCTGCTGTGTATTCTCGTCCTCACGGATCTCTTTTTTTGTCTCTTACACAGACACACACACACCTACTACAAATGTAAAACAAGTGGTTAGCAGTAGAATGGGGTTTCCTTAATAGTAGAAATAACTTTCTATTGTAGATAGTAATTGTATTTCTCCTTGTATCAATAACAGCAAGAATAAAAGCTATTCTCAATCTCAGTTTTCTGACATGGTTAAAGAAATTCTCCATTTTATCTACAAACTTCCAGTCTGTAGGGAAAAGAATGAGAGATCAGACTGTCACTGTGTCTATGTAGAAAGGGAAGATGTAAGAGACTCCATTTTGAAAAAGACCTGTACTTTAAACAATTGCTTTGCTGAGATGTTGTTAATTTGTAGCTTTGCCCCAGCCACTTTGCCCCAGCCACTTTGACCCAACCTGGAGCTCACAAAAACATGTGTTGTATAAAATCAAGGTTTAAGGAATCTAGGGCTGTGCAGGACGTGCCTTGTTAACAAAATGTTTACAAGCAGTATACTTGGTAAAAGTCATCGCCATTCTCTAGTCTCAATAAACCAGGGGCGCAATGCACTGCAGAAAGCCACAGGGACCTCTGCCCTTGAAAGCTGGGTATTGTCCAAGGTTTCTCCCCATGTGATAGTCTGAAATATGGCCTCGTGGGATGGGAAAGACCTGACCGTCCCCCAGCCCGACACGCGTAAAGGGTCTGTGCTGAGGTGGATTAATAAAAGAGGAAAGCCTCTTGCAGTTGAGATAGAGGAAGGCCACTGTCTCCTGCTTGCCCCTGGGAACTGAATGTCTTGGTATAAAACCCGATTGTACATTTGTTCAATTCTGAGACAGGAGAAAAACCGCCCTATGGTGGGAGGCGAGATACGTTTGCAGTAATGATGCTTTGTTATTCTTTACTCCGCTGAGATGTTTGGGTGGAGAGAAACATAAATCTGGCCTACGTGCACATCTAGGCATAGTACCTTCCCTTGAACCTAATTATGATATAGATTCTTTTGCTCACATGTTTTTTGCTGACCTTCTTATTATCACCCTGCTCTCCTACTACATTCCTTTTTGCTGTTATAATGAAAATAATAATCAATAAAAACAGAGAACTCAGAGGCCGGTGCCGGTGCAGGTCCTTGGTATGCTGAGCGCCAGTCCCCTGGGCCCACTGTTGTTTCTCTATAATTTGTCTCTGTGTCTTATTTCTTTTCTCAGTCTCTCATCCCACCCAACTAGAAATACCCACAGGTGTGGAGGGGCAGGCCACCCCTTCACAGTCTAGACTGCACTTCATGTCCCTCAGGCTGTCTGATCCCTCTAATGCATGCCTCACAGAGATGTTCAGGTCCATGTGTAGAAACTGAAAAGAGCATGGCTCATCAGCTAATGAGGGTCAGACAGAAAAAAAAAAAAAAAAAAAAAGAAACAAAAAAAAATTGAAAATGAGGGAGGACTTAAAGGTGAAAGGAATCAAAGTGCAGAAACAAAAGGGTAGAAACTACATTAGATACAAAGGAAAAGAGTGATCGTGACTAGAAAGTTTCCAAAAAGAAAAAGAAAGAAAAGAAAAAAGAAGAAAAGGGTAAAAGTAAAAGACTGCAACAGAAAGTAAGCCAAGGAAGCAAATACCATAAGGAAGCAAAGGAACAGATTTCTGGCAAGAGGACATTAATAACTATTATAGGCCCTCACCTCATTGGTAAAGTTATGAGTTCTGGACTTTTTTTTTTTGACAATTTTTATTCTATAAACTATGTTTTGATTTCTTTTTTGTTTTTTTCAAATCTCAGTGGAAGCCAGATCCATTCAGCAATGGCCACAGAGATGGTGAAATGCAATTAAACATTGTTAAATGAACTCTGGGAATTATAGATTCTTAGGATTAGAGTGGATTGAAGAAGAAAGATATTTTGTCATAGTCAAATGCCTTCAGTTTAGAGCATTTCTTCTCTTCTCATGCAAATTAAGATTACTTTGCTTAGGATATAGACTTCTAAATGGATTTTAGCTAAAATCAATGTGTATCGCAAACACAGGATTTATTACAATGATGTTTCATGCTAGAATTCAAAGGGCTTAGCGTTGAAACAGTTAACCTTAGCAAACGGAATTTCAGATAACTTAAATTTTCCGTGGCAACGTACACTACATTATGTTCACGCTGCCTTCTGAGCATTAACTTTGGGATATAAGTTGCATGTGTTTGATAGCTGAAGTTTACTTGATTTTTCCATTAAGAAATGGGGCGTATAGGCAGTGTTTCACTTAACATCTATCCTATAAACACATGTCACTAAAGAACTGACAACTTAATGCGTTCTGGAACCGAAACCTCACCTTATCACTTCCTGAAAATTTTAGCTTTTAGATTCAAACTGGAACCTTAGAACAGCTTCTTGCCTTTGCTTTGATGGAATTTAATAATTCTACTGGGTGCAATAACTTTGTAATAACAGCTCATGCTCTAACTCATTAGAAGTAGCATCTTTTAGTAAAATAATGTAAGGAATAACTAATACTTTAATAATGAAAGTTTTCCAAAGTTTAAGAAATATAATTAATAATATAATAGTATTTGATTTTTTGTCTATTCGTGTAAAATAAAACTTTATTTTCTTTTTCTTGCCCCTAGGTACTTTATAATTATTTTATTCTCATAGAGCTGTAATGAATATGTGACATTTCAGATTTGCCCAATAAAATATTCTTAAATGTAAATACGTATAGTCAAAAGATATTTTGAATTATCCATTATATATATTTGATGTTTCTTTTGCATAATGATTTTTAAAGCTTACCTATTCTTTCTGTTATGTAGTAGAAAGACAGTTATGTTTTTCTTCATTAACCAGTATGGGTTCCAAATAAATGTTAAATAAAGGAAAAATGATAAAAATTAGAAACAAGGCGTAGTAATTTGATGTGTCTTTATAGGCTAATCACATTTTCCCAACACAATTTTTAACCAGAACATTTGTTTCAAATGGCCAGGTTCTTTGGTGGGACTAATCAGCCAAAAGAAATTAAAGAATAAACATTTAATAACTGCAATAAAATGATCTGTAAAGTCTAGTTCTTGTTCCTGTTTCTGTGTTTGCCCAGCTGCTGGAACAAGTGCTGCTTTGGTGACAGGTGTTAAGTGTCAATTGCCTGAAGTACCATCTCCCAAATACACTCTGTCTGTAGAGACAAGTAATTCCCTAACTGCAGTTAGAACAAAACTGAATTGTTCGATCTCATGAAGAATTTTTGAGGTATTAAAATGTTTTTCTATACAGTTCCCATAAAAATTACAGAGAAATTTCTAGGATTGTTGAATATGCAAATTTTAGTTCCTCAGAGAGGAATTTCCTAAAAGCCACCCAAAGTTATTATTGAAGATAGAGAATGGAAAGAGGCAGGGAAGACTAAAAAACTCTTTGCTTCTTTCTTGTCTTGGATCTCACCTATATGCTTCAGAACCTTCTCACAAGGTTGTATGACTTAAAGCACTCTTGGAAATTCAGTCTAATTCCAACCATCCATATTCTCAAAAGTTACTGATAAAATAGCATCAAATTTACTACTTACTATGTGCTAGGCCCTGAACTGTTCTATATACATTTTCTAATTTAATCTTGATAAAAGTCCAATAATTGACACCATTTTGTAAATCAGAAAACTGGCACAGAGAGGTGCATATTTTGCACAAAGTCATCAGCTAGTATATAAGTGACAGAACAGAAACTTAAACCTGGATGTGTCTAACTCCACTAATACATAGTTGCATTAAATTCACTGTGCAACTGATAGTTACATCAAACCTAACCTTCCAAAAATGTTTCTCTTTTATTCTGTCCCACCAGCATGACTGCTATTATTGCTCACCTAATGGCTCTATATTCTTTCTAAAAGTTTAATTGTTAATAATCATGGAAAATATCATTTCCAAATATCTAAACTACTTGTTTAGTATTGCACATATTTATTTTTATAAATCATTTAAAATATAGTGTGCCACATACTGGAACCCAAAATCCTCACCCAACAATGTGAGAGCAGAGTCAGCTACCTTTTGTTTTTCTATACAATTATAGGTTTTTTTCCCCCTGAACTTCAGCCTACTTGTAATTATATTATTTTACACTGCCAAAAGCCTCCATGCTTCCTTTTCTAATGTGCCAAGGTCACTTTCTCAATTATTTTCCGTTCTCAGTGGGTCACGATTTAGTAAGCACTACTCGTATCATATGCAACTAAAGTAATAGAAGGCCTAAATCCCCATATGATTTAATTATATAAAAATTTGGCTAGCTATTATGCTAAATTTGCCCTTTGACCTGAAGAAAACATTTCTAAGATATTTTGTTCACTGAGAACGATAAATGTGATGCATCAAAAGTTTCTTAACTAATTGAGAAATGCTTGAATGATCTTGTCTATTTGACCGCTACCTACTGGGACACATTTTACTAATGATGTGAAAGAAACTTTGGAATCTCATCAGTAAGGTGGAATATTTTTAAGTAAGAGAATTAAGATTAAAGGATAGTATTATTGAAATGAACTTCAAAAAAGGAAGAACACCAAAAACATGATAAAAGATTTAAGCAAATATATATATTTAAAACAGAAAGATAACATTCATTTTATTAGGCAATATTTTTGAGGGGTATAAAATATCTAGTCTGAAGCTAAAGGAAGATAGACTATTGTATTATTTTGTTTTCATCTAAGCATTAAAGCATACATAGTATGAATAGATAATGGATGTACTCCTGCTTGGTGGTTGGGAAGATGGAAGATTTTGATGTAATGAGGTATAATGTAAGTTTGTAAACCATATCATTTCAGTCATTTCCACAAAACCCACTCTTAGCAAGGATTCATGCTATCATTTCTATTTGGGGCTCAGTGAGATGTGGAAGACCTAGGTTTTATAAGATGCATAGTTAGTTCAAAAGGCTGCACTATGATATTAATGATAGCAGGGGCTATTTATCTTCCAATAGAGAACTCTGATCCATGAGTAAAATGCACTCCTGACCTTGGCTAGCTATCTTACAGTGTCTGGTCATAATTACAATCGAGCCCTTGAGTTAAAGTAGTGACTCAATGAACTCATTAGGAAACTAGTAAAACCACTCCAAAAGCAAAGCCTGCTAGCAGTTTTTATTAGCATTATGAAATGTAGTAAAACTATATGTTGATTTAATTTTATTTGCAAAGGGTAGCAGAGATGAAGAGAAAACACCCAAAACTTTCCAGTAATGTTAGTAGCATAATAGTCAAATAGAGAATATTTGTGTACATAAAGAAGCAAAAAATAACTAAAATTAACAGATAATCTCCAAAATTTTATGATCCAATCTTCTTTCAGTGAGTCCTCACAAAGGAGGTAACTGCTGTGGTAGAGAGGAAGGGCACTCTCCCAGTCAAGTGAGGAAAGGCACCAAGAAAAGCACTCTTAAAGACAGAAGATACCTAGTAGAATGGGCATTGGATCTTGTTCTTTTGTTAGATGTCTGACTGCACATGGACTCTCTTGGTGCCATGCTGAGAGTGTAACCAAATGAGGAGTCTTTTTGAAGAATTTGAATGTGATTTTTGAGGCATGAATGAGTATAAAAATAAGAAATGCAGAGGATTGATGAAGCACTTGAGACGGCAAGGAGAAGCGGGAAGTTTTGCATCACACTGCCACCCAAGTAAGAAGAACTTCAAGCAAATAATCCATAGAAATTAGAAGTGCATTCAGGAAAGGGAGACTTTAATCTCATTTTTAGTTGGGATATCAGTTTGCAAAAGGAGATTGCTAATATACTCTACTTTTTTAGCAGGGGTAAAGACAGTGCAGAATGTTTTCACGGTAGAGAGAACAAGTTTTGCAGGTTGAATCTCTTCAGAAATAGTCTCTAAGATGCAGATTAGAATGCAGGTCATTTATTAGGGGATCTTCTTGAGAGTAATACCTGTGGAAGAGAAAGGAAGGAAGCAGTATTGGATACAGGAGGGGATGGCCAGTGCTGCAAACCCAACAAAAGCCTCAATTCAAGTTGGAAAATCTCATCAGATTTGTCCTGAGTTGCATTGAAGAGATTGAGTCTTTATACCTCTGCACTATTAGTCACTGGGCAGAATGGTCCCGGAAATAGATGAGATATTGAGCAAGACAATTTTTTATTGGATGAGTTAATCCCTAAAGACAGCTGACAACTGAGGGCTGTCTCTAGCTTCACTTCCACTAGCAGAGAATAATAAGTTGTTGATTCAATACATGAGATGTTATAGCATATTGTGGTGTCCACCACAAGAGCTTTCCTTCTTGAAAGTCTTCAAAGCTATAGAGGGGTGTGGAAGTTAAGAGCCCAAGATGAGGTAGACTGGCAGGCTGGAGACTCAGGAAAAGTTTTAGTTCAAGGCCAAGGGATATATTCTGGTAGAATTCCTTCTCGCTCAAGGAAAATTACTGACTAGGCATGCTGCTTCTGTTATCCAGACACATTTGCCTAATGTTTCATGTATATACAAACTGCACAGTTCCAATATGTTGACACCAGTTTAATGAGATGGTACTCGTTAGGGCCTCAGCAGCTCTCATGTGCAGGCATTGATAGGTGCTGTTGCCAAAAGTGGGAATTAGAGCCCTAATTCGCTCACATGCATGCACACACACATACACAGGGTGGGTTTGTGGACTGGAGGCAGATTGTGAGTTTACTGAGTGTCATTGACTGGCTCCTTTGCTTGGGCTGGTGGAGTGAGCCCTGCTAGGTCTGAAGTGTGAGAATGAGTTTGGTCCCACCTCTGCTTACCTGGCCTTGGCACCAGGGCCACCCCACCCTTCCCATACTAGGACCTTGGTGCAGCAGCAGTTGCTTTACTCCTTGCCCAGGCATTTCTGCAAAGGCCTGGAGACTTCTCCACTTATTTGTCAGGGCTGGTGCTTGTGCCCACCACTGGGGGACCTGAGTGCTGCTTTGACCTGTCCAGCTCTGCCCAACTTTGCCCCCTCCCTGAGGCTGAGCGCAGGACTCAGACAATTGAGTGTTCTATGGCCCAGCCCATAGCCCGGGGCACCTGAGTACTTATCTTGGTTAACAAAAACCAAGTATAAACAGTACTGCCTCCATTGTAGCTGGCTCTTACCTACAAGTACCACCCACTGGACTGGAAGTTGACCTAAATATCCCATTACACTACTGGCTGACAAAAGAGCAAAGCACTTGGGAATGAGATAAGAATTACCTTACGAACTTTGTTACATAGCTCACACCACCCTGGTTACTCAGGAAGTCATGAGATCACTCATCTGTCTGGTACATCACTACTACAACTGGCATTTGAGAACACCACCACACTAAGGCTATTTATAACCAAGGAAATCATACAGAGTTGTCAACACTGAACACATCCAGAAGCAAAGCCAAATGATTATACTCAACATAATCATTATGATGTCACAATTTCAAGCAAAAAAGTCCCATCTCAATGAGAGTAAATTTAAAAATAAGAAATAACTGTTTCTTCAGATGCAAAAAAATCAGCACAATAGTACAAGAAGTATGGAAGAGCAAGGTATTGTGACACCTCCAAAGGAACACAGTAGTTCTCTAGTAATGGATACTAATAAGAAAGAAACATTCAAAATTCTAAATAATCCAAAGTATTGATTTTTAAAGAGGACCAATAAGATGCAAGAGAAATCTGAAAATAATATAAGGAAATCAGATATAACAATTCAGGATATAAATGAGAAGTTTACCAAGAATATTTTATAAAAAACCAAGCAGAACTTTTGGAAATAAAAGATTCATTGAAAGAATTACTAAATATACATGAAAGCTTTAACAGACTAGACCAAGCAGAAGAATGAATCTCAGAACTTGAAGACAGGTCTTTTGAGCTAATCTAGCTAGACAAAAACAAATAAAAAATAAAAAAGAATGAACAAAATCTTCAAGAAGTATGGGATTACATAAAGCAACCAAACATAAACAATCAGTATTCCTAAAGAAGAAAAAAAGTAAAAAGTTTAGAAAAGTTATTTAAGGAAATAATTGATGAAAACTTCGCTAGCTTAGCAAGATACTTGGGTATCCACACACAGGAGGACCGACAGTCACCAAGAAAATGCATTGCAAAACATACTTCAGCATGCCATATAGTCATCAGATTGTCTAAAGTCAATGGGAAGGAAAAAATTCTAAAATTAACAAAAGAAAAATATCAAGTCATCAATAAAGAAAACCCCATCAGACTAATGATGAACTTCTTAGCAGAAACCTCACAAGCTTGAAGAGAATGATATTCTATTTTCAAAGTGCTAAAAGAAAATATCTTTTAGCCTAGAATTTTGTATCCCGTTAAACTATACTTCATAAATGAAGGAGAAATAGTCTTTCCCTGACAAGTAAACACTGAGGAAATTTGTAACCACTATACTAGCCCTACAATAAATGTTCAAAGGAGTTCTAAACATAAAACAAAAGATTGATATTTTCCTTCATAAAAACATATGAAAGAATAAAACCCACAGGTTTTATAAAACAATTTCACAAAGGAGGAAGAGAAGCCAAATGACAACATGACAAAAATCCACAAAGAAAAACAACTAGAGAAATAAAGAAGAAACAAATATGTATAAAACAACAAACAACAATATGACAGGAACAAACCCCACATATCAATATTAACCTTCAATGTAATTGGATTAAATGCTCCACTTAAAAGATATAGATTGGCAAAATATATAAAAAACAGAATCCAACCAAGTGCTGCTTATAGGAAACTCACCTGTAAAGACACATATAGACTCAAAGTGAACAGGCAGAAAAAGATATTCCATTGCAAATGGAAATGAAAAGCAACTAGGAGTTGTCATGCTTATATAAGATAAAACAGACTTTAAATCAAAGACAGTCATAATAGACAAAGAAGGTAACTGTATAATGATAAAGAGATCAATTAAGCAAAATGGTATGAAAATCCTAAAACTATATATGCCCAACACCTGAGCACCTATATTCATAAAACAAATATTATTAGACCTAAAAAAGACGTAACAATATAATAATAGTGGGGGACTTTAATACCCTACTCACAGCACTAGAGAGATCACTGAGATAGAAAATTTAACAAAGAAATATTAGACTTGAATTAGTCTTTAGACCAAATGGACCTAACAGACATTTATAGAACAGTCTACCCAGAAACTACAGAATATGCATTCATGTCATCAACACATGAAACATTCTTCAAGGTAGACTATATATTAGGCCACAAAACAAGTCTCAATAGACTTAAAATGAAAATCATATCAAGTATCTTCTCAGGTCACAGTGGAATAAAGCTAGAAATCAATTCCAAAAGAAACTTTGGAAACAATACAAATACATGGAAATTAAATAACATCCTCATGAATCATCTTTGGATCAATTATCATATTAAGACAGAACTTTAAACAATTTTTGAAATGAATGAAAATTGAAACTATGTACCTAAACCTCTGAGATAGAGCAAAAGCAGTAACAAGAGGGCAGTTTATAGCATTAAATACATACATTAAAAAAATAGAAAGATCACAAGTTAACAACCTATCATCACTCCTGAAGGAACTAGTAAAACAAACAAACAAAAAAATGAAACCCAAAGCTAGCAGAAGAAAATAAATAAAAAAATCAAAGCAGAGCTAAATGAAATAAAGACCAAAAAATCCAATATAAAGGATGAACAAAATGAAAAGCTGGTTCTTCAAAAGATAAACAAAATTGATTAACTGCTGACTAGACTAACCAAAGAAAAGAGGAGAGAAGATCCAGATAAACACAATCAGAAATGAAAAAGGAGATGCTACAACTGGTATGGCAGAAATGCAAAAGATCATCAGAGACTATTATGAACAACCATATACTAACAAACTAGCAAACCTAGACAAAATGAATAAATTCTTAGAAATATAAGCCTTCCAAGAGTGAGCCAGGAAGAAATAGAAATCCTAACAAGACCAGTAACCAATAGTGAGATTGAATCAATAATAAAAATCTACCCCTCCCCAATCCCCCAAAAGCCTGGACCAGATGGGTTCACAGTTGACTTCTACTGAACATACAAATAACTGGTACCAATCCTAAAACTATTCCTAAAAACTGAGGAGAAGAAATGTCTCCCTATATCACTTTTGAAACCAGTGTCACCCTGATAACCAAACCAGTCAGAGACACAACAACAACAAAAAACTACACACGAATATCCCAAATAAACATAGATGCAAAAATCCTCAACAAAATACTAGCAAACCAAATCCAATAGCACATCAAAAATATAATCAACAATGACAAACTGGAATGTACTCCTGGAATGAAAGGATGGTTCAGGCTGGGTGCAGTGGCTCAGCCTGTAATCCCAGCACTTTCAGAGGCCGAGGCAGGTAGATCACTTGAGGTCAGGAGTTCGAGACTAGCCTAGCCAACATGGTGAAACCTTGTCTCTACTAAAAATACAAAAATTAGCCGGGCATGGTGGAGCATGCCTATAATCCCAGCTCCTCAGGAGGCTGAGGCAGGAGAATCTCTTGAACTCCGGAGGTGGGGGTTGCAGAGAGCTGAGATCGCGCCACTGCACTCCAGCCTGGGTGACAGAACGAGACTCTGTCTCAAGAAAAAAAAAAGAAAAATAAAAGGATGCAAATCAATAAATGTAATTCATCACATAAACACAAGTAAGGACAAAAGCCATGTACTCAATAGATGCAGGAAAAGCATTTGATAAAATTCACCATCTCTTCCTGATAAAAACCCTCAACAATCTAGGCATAGAAGGGCATAGCTCAAAATAATGAGTCATATATAACAAACTCAAAGCGAACATTACAGTGAATGGGGGGAAAGTTGAAAGCATCACTCTTAAGACCTGGAACAAGACAAGAATGCCATTCTCACCACTGCTATTCAACATAGTACTAGAAGTCTTAGCCAGAGCTATCAGACAAGAGAAAGAAATAAAGGCATCCAAAGTGGAAAACAGGAAGTCAAATTTTCTGTTTGCAGAGGATATAATCTTACATCTAGAAAACCATGAAAACTCCATCAAAAACTGCTTAGACTTGTTAAATAAATTCCATAAAGTTTCAGGACACATTATCAATGTATAAAAATCAGTAGTATTTCTATACACTCATAATAATCAAGCAGAGAACCAAAGCAAGGACTTAATCCCATTTACAATAATAAAATGACTTAGGAATAAATTTAAATGATTTGGGGATGAATTTAAACAAGGAGATGAAAGATTTCTACAAGAAAGACTACAAATTGAAAATCATTGTAGATGACAGAAACAAATGAAAAACGTCCCACACTCATGGATCAGGAAAATTATTATTGTTAAAATGACCATAATACCAAAAACAATATACAAATTCAATGCAATCCCTATTAAAATAGCAGCATAATTTTTCTCTGAAGTAGAAAAAAAAATTTCTATTTTATTTTATTTTATTATTATTATACTTTAAATTTTAGGGTACATGTGCACAACGTGCAGGTTAGTTACATATGTATACAAGTGCCATGCTGGTGTGCTGCACCCATTAACTTGTCATTTAGCATTAGGTATATCTCCTAATGCTATCCCTCCCCTCTCCCCCCACCCCACAACAGTCCCCAGAGTGTGATGTTCCCCTTCCTGTGACCATGTGTTCTCATTGTTCAATTCCCACCTATGAGTGAGAACATGCGGTGTTTGTTTTTTGGTCTTTGCGATAGTTTACTGAGAATGATGATTTCCAATTTCATCCATGTCCCTACAAAGGACATGAACTCATCATTTTTCATGGCTGCATAGTATTCCATGGTGTATATGTGCCACATTTTCTTAATCCAGTCTATCATTGTTGGACATTTGGGTTGTTTCCAAGTCTTTGCTATTGTGAATAGTGCCACAATAAACAAATGTGTGCATGTGTCTTTATAGCAGCATGATTTATAGTCCTTTGGGTATATACCCAGTAATGGGATGGCTGGGTCAAATGGTATTTCTAGTTCTAGATCCCTGAGGAATCACCATACTGACTTCCACAATGGTTGAACTAGTTTACAGTCCCAAAAACAGTGTAAAAGTGTTCCTATTTCTCCACATCCTCTCCAGCACCTGTTGTTTCCTGACTTTTTAACGATTGCCATTCTAACTGGTGTGAGATGGTATCTCATTGTGGTTTTGATTTGCATTTCTCTGATGGCCAGTGATGGTGAGCATTTTTTCATGTGTTTTTTGGCTGCATAAATGTCTTCTTTTGAGAATTGTCTGTTCATGTCCTTCACCCACTTTTTGATGGGATTGTTTGTTTTCTTCTTGTAAATTTGTTTGAGTTCATTGTAGATTCTGGATATTAGCCCTTTGTCAGATGACTGGGTTGCGAAAATTTTCTCCCATTTTGTAGGTTGCCTGTTCACTCTGATGGTAGTTTCTTTTGCTGTGCAGAAGCTCTTTAGTTTAATTAGATCCCATTTGTCAATTTTGGCTTTTGTTGCCATTGCTTTTGGTGTTTTAGACATGAAGTCCTTGCCCATGCCTATGTCCTGAATGGTAATGTCTAGGTTTTCTTCTAGGGTTTTTATGGTTTTAGGTCTAACATTTAAGTCTTTAATCCATCTTGAATTAATTTTTGTATAAGGTGTAAGGAAGGGATCCAGTTTCAGCTTTCTGCATATGGCTAGCCAGTTTTCCCAGCACCATTTCTTAAATAGGGAATCCTTTCCCCATTGCTTGTTTTTCTCAGGTTTGTCAAAGATCAGATAGTTGTAGATATGCGGCATTATTTCTGAGGGCTCTGTTCTGTTCCGTTAATCTATATCTCTGTTTTGGTACCAGTACCATGCTGTTTTGGTTACTGTAGCCTTGTAGTATAGTTTGAAGTCAGGTAGCGTGATGCCTCCAGCTTTGTTCTTTTGGCTTAGGATTGACTTGGCGATGCGGGCTCTTTTTTGGTGCCATATGAACTTTAAAGTAGTTTTTTCCATTTCTATGAAGAAAGTCATTGGTAGCTTGATGGGTATGGCATTGAATCTATAAATTACCTTTGGCAGTAAGGCAATTTTCACAATATTGATTCTTCCTACCCATGAGCATGGAATGTTCTTCCATTTGTTTGCATCCTCTTTTATTTCATTGAGCAGTGGTTTGTAGTTTTCCTTGAAGAGGTCCTTCATGTCCCTTGTAAGTTGGTTTCCTAGGTATTTTATTCTCTTTGAAGCAATTGTGAATGGGAGTTCACTCATGATTTGGCTCTCTGTTTGTCTGTTATTGGTGTATAAGAATGCTTGTGATTTTGTACATGGATTTTGTATCCTGAGACTTTGCTGAAGTTGCTTATCAGCTTAAGGGGATTTTGGGCTGAGACAATGGGGTTTTCTAGATATACAATCATGTCATCTGCAAACAGGGACAATTTGACTTCCTCTTTTCCTAATTGAATACCCTTTATTTCCTTCTCCTGCCTAATTGCCCTGGCCAGAACTTCCAAGACTATGTTGAATAAGAGTGGTGAGAGAGGGCATCCCTGTCTTGTGCCAGTTTTCAAAGGGAATGCTTCCAGTTTTTGCCCATTCAGTATGATATTGGCTGTGGGTTTGTCATACATAGCTCTTATTATTTTGAGATACGTCCCATCAATACCTAATTTATTGAGAGTTTTTAGCATGAAGAGTTGTTGAATTTTGTCAAAGGCCTTTTCTGCATCTATTGAGATAATCATGTGGTTTTTGTCTTTGGTTCTGTTTATATGCTGGATTACATTTATTGATTTGTGTATGTTGAACCAGCCTTGCATCCCAGGGATGAAGCCCACTTGATCATGGTGGATAAGCTTTTTGATGTGCTGCTGGATTCGGTTTGCCAGTATTTTATTGAGGATTTTTGCATCAATGTTCATCAAGGATATTGGTCTAAAATTCTCTTTTTTTGTTGTGTCTCTGCCAGACTTTGGTATCAGGATGATGCTGGCCTCATAAAATGAGTTAGGGAGGATTCCCTCTTTTTCTATTGATTGGAATAGTTTCAGAAGGAATGGTACAAGTTCCTCCTTGTACCTCTGGTAGAATTCGGCTGTGAATCCATCTGGTCCTGGACTCTTTTTGGTTGGTAAGCTATTGATTGTTGCCACAATTTCAGAGTCTGTTATTTGTCTATTCAGAGATTCAACTTCTTCCTGGTTTAGTCTTGGGAGGGTGTATGTGTCGAGGAATTTATCCATTTCTTCTAGATTTTCTAGTTTATTTGCATAGAGGTGTTTGTAGTATTCTCTGATGGTAGTTTGTATTTCTGTGGGATCGGTGGTGATATCCCCTTTGTCATTTTTTATTGCGTCTATTTGATTCTTCTCTCTTTTCTTCTTTATTAGTCTTGCTAGCGGTCTATCCATTTTGTTGATCCTTTCAAAAAACCAGCTCCTGGATTCATTAATTTTTTGAAGAGTTTTTTTGTGTCTCTATTTCCTTCAGTTCTGCTCTGATTTTAGTTATTTCTTGCCTTCTGCTAGCTTTTGAATATGTTTGCTCTTGCTTCTCTAGTTCTTTTAATTGTGATGTTAGGGTGTCAATTTTGGATCTTTCCTGCTTTCTCTTGTGGGCATTTTGTGCTATAAATTTCCCTCTACACAATGCTTTGAATGTGTCCCAGAGATTCTGGTATGTTGTATCTCTGTTCTCATTGGTTTCAAAGAACATCTTTATTTCTGCCTTCATTTCGTTATGTACCCAGTAGTCATTCAGGAGCAGGTTGTTCAGTTTCCATGTAGTTGAGCGGTTTTGAGTGAGTTTCTTAATCCTGAGTTCTAGTTTGATTGCAAACTGTGGTCTGAGAGACAGTTGGTTATAATTTCTGTTCTTTTACATTTGATGAGGAGAGCTTTACTTCCAAGTATGTGGTCAATTTTGGAATAGGTGTGGTGTGGTGCTGAAAAGAATGTGTATTCTGTTGATTTGGGCTGGAGAGTTCTATAGATTTCTATTAGGTCTGCTTGGTGCAGAGCTGAGCTCAATCCTGGGTATCCTTGTTAACTTTCTGTCTCGTTGATCTGTCTAATGTTGACAGTGGGGTGTTAAAGTCTCCCATTATTATTGTGTGGGAGTCTAAGTCTCTTTGTAGGTCACTCAGGACTTGCTTTATGAATCTGGGTGCTCCTGTATTGGGTGCATATATATTTAGGATAGTTAGCTCTTCTTGTTGAATTGATCCCTTTACCATTATGTAATGGCCTTGTCTCTTTTGATCTTTGTTGGTTTCAAGTCTGTTTTATCAGAGACTAGGATTGCAACCCCTGCCTTTTTTTTGTTTTCCATTTGCTTGGTAGATCTTCCTCCATCCTTTTGTTTTGAGCTTACGTGTGTCTCTGCACATGAGATGGGTTTCCTGAATACAGCACACTGATGGGTCTTGACTCTTTATCCAATTTGCCAGTCTGTGTCTTTTAATTGGAGCATTTAGTCCATTTACATTTAAAGTTAATATTGTTATGTGTGAATTTGATCCTGTCATTATGATGTTAGCTGGTTATTTTGCTCGTTAGTTGATGCCATTTCTTCCTAGCCTCGATGGTCTTTACAATTTGGCATGATTTTGCAGTGGCTGGTACTGGTTGTTCCTTTCCATGTTTAGTGCTTCCTTCAGGAGCTCTTTTAGGGCAGGTCTGGTGGTGACAAAATCTCTCAGCCTTTGCTTGTCTGTAAAGTATTTTATTTCTCCTTCACTTATGAAGCTTAGTTTGGCTGGATATGAAATTCTGGGTTGAAAATTCTTTTCTTTAAGAATGTTGAATATTGGTCCCCACTCTCTTCTGGCTTGTAGAGTTTCTGCCAAGAGATCAGCTGTTAGTCTGATGGGCTTCCCTTTGTGGGTAACCCGACCTTTCTCTCTGGCTGCCCTGAACATTTTTTCCTTCATTTCAACTTTGGTGAATCTGACAATTATGTGTCTTGGAGTTGCTCTTCTCGAGGAGTATCTTTGTGGCGTTCTCTGTATTTCCTGAATCTGAATGTTGGCCTGCCTTGCTAGATTGGGAAAGTTCTCCTGGATAATATCCTGAAGAGTGTTTTCCAACTTGGTTCCATTCTCCCCGTCACTTTCAGGTACACCAATCAGATGTAGATTTGGTCTTTTCACATAGTCCCATATTTCTTGGAGGCTTTGTTCATTTCTTTTTATTCTTTTTTCTCTAAACTTCCCTTCTCGCTTCATTTCATTCACTTCATCTTCCATCACTGATACCCTTTCTTCCAGTTGATCGCATCGGCTCCTGCGGCTTCTGCATTCTTCACGTAGTTCTCGAGCCTTGGCTTTCAGCTCCATCAGCTCCTTTAAGCACTTCTCTGTATTGCTTATTCTAGTTATACATTCGTCTAAATTTTTTTCAAAGTTTTTAACTTCTTTGCCTTTGGTTTGAATTTCCTCCCGTAGCTCAGAGTAGTTTGATTGTCTGAAGACTTCTTTTCTCAACTTGTCAAAGTCATTCTCCATCCAGCTTTGTTCCATTGCTGGTGAGGAACTGCATTCCTTTGGAGGAGGATAGGCGCTCTGCTTTTTAGAGTTTCCAGTTTTTCTGCTCTGTTTTTTCCCCATCTTTGTGGTTTTATCTACTTTTGGTCTTTGATGATGGTGATGTACAGATGGGTTTTTGTTGTGGCTGTCCTTTCTGTTTGTTAGTTTTCCTTCTCACAGACAGGACCCTCAGCTGCAGGTCTGTTGGAGTTTGCTAGAGGTCCACTCCAGACTGTGTTTGCCTGGGTATCAGCAGCAGTGGCTGCAGAACAGCGGATTTTGATGAACCGCAAATGCTGCTGTCTGATCGTTCCTCTGAAAGTTTTGTCTCAGAGGAGTACCCGGCCGTGTGAGGTGTTAGTCTGCCCCTACTGGGGGGTGCCTCCCAGTTAGGCTCCTCAGGGGTCAGGGGTCAGGGACCCACTTGAGGACCAGTCTGCCCGTTCTCAGATCTCCATCTACATGCTGGGAGAACCACTGCTCTCTTCAAAGCTGTCAGACAGGGACATTTAAGTCTGCAGCGGTTACTGCTGTCTTTTTGTTAGTCTGTGCCCTGCCCCCAGAGGTGGAGCCTACAGAGGCAGGCAGGCCTCCTTGAGCTGTGGTGGTCTCCAGCCAGTTGGAGCTTCCCGGCTGCTTTGTTTACCTAAGCGAGCCTGGGCAATGGCGGGCGCCCCTCCCCCAGCCTCGCTGCCACCTTCCAGTTTGATCTCAGACTGCTGTGCTAGTAATCAGTGAGACTCTGTGGGCATAGGACCCTCTGAGCCATGTGCAGGATATAATCTCCTGGTGCGCCCTTTTTTAAGCCCGTCGGAAAAGCGCAGTATTAGGGTGGGAATGACCTGATTTTCCAGGTGCCGTCTGTCACCCATTTCTTTGACTAGGAAAGGGAACTCCCTGACCCCTTGTGCTTCCCGAGTGAGGCAATGCCTCGCCCTGCTTCGGCTCGTGCACGGTGCACTGCACCCACTGTCCTGTGCCCACTGTCTGGCACTCCCTAGTGAGATGAACCCGGTACCTCAGATGGAAATGCAGAAATCACCTGTCTTCTGCGTTGCTCACGCTGGGAGCTGTAGACCGGAGCTGTTCCTGTTCGTCCACCTTGGCTCAGAAAAAAACATTTCTAAAATTCATTTGGAACTAAAAAGGAGCCTGAATACTCAAACCAATCCTAAGCGAAAAGAGCAAAGCGAAAGGCATCACATTACCTGACTTTATGCTACAAGGCTAATAGGAATTAAAACAGCATGATTCTGGTATAAAAATGGATGCATAGTTATGTAGAATAGAATAGAGGACCCAGAAATAAATACACATATGCACACCAATTTTTTGCCAATATTGGAAAACCATACCTGGGGAAAGGACACCCTTTACAATAAATGGTGCTGAGAAAATAGCTTTGCCATATGTAGAAGAATAGAAATGGGCTCCCATCTCTCACCATATACACATATTAGCTCAAGATGGAATAAAGAAACTGTAAAAATACTAGAAGAAAACCTAGGGAAAACTGTTTTGGACATTGATCTAGTCAAATAATTTATGACTAAGACTTCAAAAGCACAAGCAACACAACCAAAATTGGACAAATGAATTAATTAAAAAGCTTCTGCACAGCAAAAGAAATATCAACAGAGTGAACTGACAACCTGTGGAATGGGAGAAAATATACGCAAAACATGAAACTTAGAAGAGACTAGTAACAAGAATATACAAGAAACTGAAACAACTCAACAGTGATAACAAAAGCCAAATAAACACATTAAAAAGTTGTTAAAGCCATAAATCGACACATTTTAAAAAAAAGACATACAAATGGCCAACAAGAGCACAAAAAAGTGCTTAACATCACTAATTTCCAGAGATATGCAAAATAAAACCAGAGTAAGATATCATCTGACACCAGTCAGAGAAATACCTAATGTAAATGATGAGTTAATGGGTGCAGCAAAGCAATATGGCACATGTATACATATGTAACAAACCTGCACATTGTGCACATGTACCCTAGAACTTAAAGTATAATTTAAAAAAGTCCTGGAAACAGAATAGCTATTTTTATTATTATTTTAATTTTTTTTTTTTTGAGAAAACAAAGCCTTTATTTCAAAACCAGTCATTGTGGAGACAGAAGGCAGGTTCAAATCTGTCTGGGGCAAGTTTATGGGCTAAGAAAGCAAGGGAAATGGTTTATCAATGTCAACTTGGTTGGGTTGGATTAGAAGGCTTTAAATTTGCCTATTTATGGTGGGGTATATTGAAACAGATTTAAACTCTGGGTCTTCCAGGTCAACAGACACTTCTGAAAGAGTTCTAGTGTTTAGGTTCTGGTCATGTTCTAGTCTTCTTGGTTCCCAGGGTAGGAATATTTGGTTTTGGGTGTTGCTAGAGGTCAAAGCTTTTTCTGTTGCCCATGCCTGGACTACATGACTTGCAGTTTGGTGCTCTGTTATATCTATAAGGCAAGTTAACAGTTTGTTAACAACAGAGCAAGGCACAGTTTGGGCTGGTCCTGCATTTACAATAACATGAATATCAAAAAAATAACACTGAGTGAAAAAAATCAGGTGTAAACGAATACACACCGAATGATTCTATGTATATAAAGTTCAACGTAGGCCGATTTACAATGACAAATATTAGAATAGTAATTATCTCTGGAAGCGGAAGGCTACAAAGGGCTTTCTGAGATGGGGGAAATGTCCTTTTTTTTAATCTGAGTTGTAGTTAAAGAAGTGTATTCACATTAAAGATTCGTTCAACTTAAGATTTGTATATGTATTTAATGTAAGTTATATCTCAGTTTTAAAAAACGCACTTTAAAAAAGTCCTCAGCTGTGAAAATTAATGAACTACTACCACACTTACAGTAGGGATAAATTTTAGAAACACAATATTAAGTGAAAAAAGCAAGCCTCATATATCTGCAATGCAATAAAAAAACAAAGCTAAATAAAATATTATTTATTCACACATACAGACAGAACGTCTATTATTAAAAAGTAAAAAAAAAAAGATGTTGGCGAGCATGCTGAGAAAATGAACACCTATGCACTGTTTGTGGGAATGTAAATTAGTACAATCTCTATGGAAAACAATATGGAGATTTCTCAAAGAATTAAAAATAGAACTACTATTCAATTTAGCAATCCCACTCCTGGGAATCTACTCAAAGGGAAATAAATCATAATATCAAAAATATACCTGCATTATATACCTGCATATCAAAAATATACCATGATTAGCTAAAGAAAATGTTGTATATATACACAATAGAATACTATTCAGCCATAAAAAGAATGAAATTATGTCTTTTGCAGAAACATGGATGGAACTGGAGGTCATTATCTTAGGTGAAACAACTCAAACAGAAAGTCAAATATCACACGTTTTTACTCATAAGTGAGAGCTAAATAATGTGTACATATGACATAGAGTGTGAAATGTTAGAGACTGAAAACTAGGAAAAATGAGAGGGTGGATGGGAGTGAGGATGAGAAATTATGGGTGCGATGCATATTATTCAGGTGATGAATACACTAAAAGTCCAGACTTCACCACTGTGCAATATATCCATGTAACAATACTGAACTTGTACCCTTTAAATTTATAACAATAAAAAATAAGACGTGGATACATAATCTTAGCATTCTGGTGAAATCATAAACTAATAAAAGGGAGAGAAAAAACCCAAAGCCTTTACAAGAAAATCATGATCGAAATAAGAAGCAAACAACACTATAGCATGGTATTACATAAATATGTAAATAGGAATAGTCTTTGAAAGGTAATTCATTTGACATTTTCTTTTGCAGGAACCTCTTTTGACTCAAGCTTCCATTTCTGTCACTATACATTCAACTACAATAAAGAGTTATGTAGAGAAAAATAGTTATATAACCATAACTGAAATCACTGAAAATGAAACTACATAAAAGAACAGAAGATTTAATTCGTGTTATGTAAAAAATGTAAACAATGTGATTTTAAGTGACAAATATTATAGGAGACAACATTTTATGGTGGATGCACAGGAGGAAAGTTGGAAGTAAATTAAGAGGAGTTTATTTTTAAAATTTAAATTATAGAAAGTCAAGATATGCTAAGTTGACAAAAATGAAACGGGTATAAGTATTACAGTGAATCACGATCCTGGAAAGATACAACAGGGGCACCAAGCATGTAAGCCCCTGGTGTATCTGACTGGCTGTGACATAACACTAAGTAACTGGTATGAGAAATGCTACTTTTCTGCCTGCTCTTTCTTACTATTCTTTACCTACTGTTTTTCCAATCCGAACATAAGTTTAGCTTGCTTATTTCTGGATGTCCTTTTAACTGTTTGTCTGCATCACTAACTCTGAGATCCAATTACCTAGAAATTAACAAATAGCAATATTAAGCTAATCCTAAATTATATATTCTGAAGACAAAAATTATCTCTCCCAGTTCTAATATTATTATTTGTTTTGATTAGGAAAGTAACTTTTCAAAGATACCAAGGACAACCTTTTGTGTCCTGATTATCATGAAAGTATGAGTGAAAGATATTTAATTCTTAATCCTTCCATTTTGGTACTGATGGAAGCCTAAAGGAATAGCCATAGCAGTTCCTTATTTTTTGGTGAAACAGTTGAAACTGTAGCGTGCTGAATCCCAAACCTCCAAATGTCCATAGAACGAACTGCATTTTTTTTTAAAGGTACCCATTTAGATGTATGATTCCTTTTGATTTGGATGACAAACGTCAGAAGCCTCAATAATCTGGTCACTAGCCAAGAGATTTTAGAATATCATACAGTTCCCAGTCTATGAAAAGCAAAATAGTTAACTACATGTTCCTTGGGTCAAGAAGTAGGTGAGGAAAATTTTAGGTGAGGAGTTTATGTTTTAGCTTTAGGAGGTATAGAATAACAAAGTAAATAGGAGCTCAAGAGATTCACCTTTGAGCTCATTGTTTTAAAAAACTTACTGCAGAGTAGCTGCTAACATTTCTGACCTGATTTGACATTAACATAAATATTTTGTTTATTTTGAGTAATGTTAATCATGTTTTCTTTGTGACTGAATACTAGCCAGTGAAGTTAATTATTGTCCAAATTATAGACTGTGTTAACCTTGTCACCCTCTTCACAGTAAAACAAAGGGAAGAAGTTACAAGGTCTTTATTTTTTAATCAAATAATAAATGATTGATAACTTGAATTAACAATGGAATCAAAGTATAAAGAGTGTCAGACCTGTCAAGTAGCATTGAAAACAAGGAAATTTATGGGTAACATCCCAAATCACTAGCAGGACGGATTGCCTGTATCCGTTATAGAAGTAAATTTACTGGGATGTTTTGGCTGAAACAGTGAGAAGGGATGTTCCATTCTGTTGTACAGTGCAACAATATCCCACTTAGTTCCACTTGGATGTGTTTGGCAACTTCTCCCATGTGTGTTTGGTTTGATACACTATACCTCACATAGCCATCTGATCTTTACCATAAGGAAGAGGGAAATTACCTGTAATTTAAGTGGTTTATTATTTGTTGTCAAGAAGAGATCTTTCTGGTTTCTGATTGTTTGAAATTCTTTTGCCCTTCTTCTTACCCTGAATCTCACATGTCCTTTTATTCTTTAAGCTGGGTAAATGTGAATGTGCTTTGTGTGTGTGTGTGAGATGTGTATGTGTGTGTGTGCATTTTTTTATGTCTGTATAGGAAACGGGCTTATCTTTTTTAAAGAAATGGACATTTTATCTTGCAAGTCTTAAGATTTTCCAGTGTAGTACTGTAACAAAATTCATGTGGAAAATGTATAAGTGAATTTGGCTTTTAAATTGAATTGATTTGAGACATTTTTCAATTTCCTCTTAAAATCCATTTTAGCTGATTCAAAAAGGAAAATATTTCTGTAAGGCTTTTAAACTTACCAATAATCTCAGAATACATGCCTAATATATAATGACAAAGGGCAGTAAATAAAAACCCATAGAATATTTTCATGTTTTAATTTTTGAAACTTGTATTTCCAACGACATTCCAATGATAACTTAAGGATGAAATAACTGAAAATATCTTATTAGTAAAGGGTTTGTCTCTGAACCTCATCTGTTGTCATTCAACTTAAGGTAAATACACATATGTACTCTTACAATGTAGTAAAGAGTGTACTATTCATGTAGTTATGTACAAAACAAACTCTGCCCTTGCATTCTTCCCCATCTCTAATATATGGAATCTGAGACAACTGTACACTGGGAAATAACTTTTAAAAATGCTGCAGTATTCCTTCAATATTCAGAAAACATGGGATTATTTTTACTTTAAATCAAAGTTTATTGTATAGCTACAATACTACGCACTGCAGGTAAAAAAATTAGAAACCATAAGCCATGATCTCCAAATACTCATTGTCTAGTAAAGGAGGAAGATAAAGAAGCAGTTCTAATACACTGAAAAATAATTGCTGCCTTAGAGTGAGGAAATGCTGTGGAAGTAGACAAAAGTGTGTGACCAACTGGCTAAGGGAGAGGAAGAACTTCCCAGAGAGGTTAGCCATAATCTCCATCTGGAAGAATAAATAGTATTTATTTAGTTGAAGACAGAAAGACCATTCCAGACAGAAAATCACACATGCAAAGCTATTAAAACAGCACGAGGAACAAATGGTCAGAAATTTATCGTAGTAAGGGACAGAAGTACGTAGAAAAACTGATCTTAGAGATAAGACTTTAACTTTCACATGAAAATGTTGATGGTAACTATAAACAATAGCAATTTTTTTAAAAAAATCAGAATAATTCATTAAGTGATTTAAACTTAAACAGTGATCCTTTATTTTAAATATGGATTCCTTTAATAAAAGTGGACATTTTTGCTTTTTGGGGTTCTCTTTGAGCGTGATATGTTCTAATTAAAAGATTTTAAGCTTTGGAGTTTTTACCATTAATTTTGTCACTAAGGCTAGATGTCTTGGCTAAGTAACTCTGCAAACTTAGTAATGTCACAGGATCCTTAGGGTGTTGCTTCACCAACTGGAAACCTCTGTGGCTGGCAGCACCTTCTGCCTGAGTATTACTTGCACTTGCTGGGCTCATTCCATCCACTCAGCCCAGCAGGCTGTGCTCAGCTTGTGCTACAAGCCTGGATCCTATACCTGTCAAGAGTGAGCCAGGCATGGAGTGGCAAAGGGTGTGTGGGTGAGTGAGTGCAGGGTCCAACAACTGTGTACCTGTGTACATCCAAGCACACTGGGTGCTGTGGCAGGAAAGGCAGCTCCAGGTGCTGGCACAAGTGCCGACTTCATGCCAGGCTGCAGGAGGACCACATATATTGCACACAGCTTCTGCTGCATGCACCTGCATCTGGATAAGGGGAAGGTGGTGGTGCCTGGAAGCTTGGCAATGCCAGGAACTGCAGAACTCCAAAGAAAGTGTCACAGCCCTGGCTTGAGGAGCCCCTAGGTCTAGGATCCCCAAATATCCACAGCTCTTTTTTTCTCATTACCTGCAACGTGGTGAGTGGTAAGTGGAGAGGGGGCAAGTTTCAGCCCTGTTTGTGTTACAGCTCTTTAAGTCCTGCAATTCAGCAGGCCCTGGGTTCTTGTCCCATGTCAAGGAAGAATTAGGTATGCAGACAACTGGAGGGTGAGCAAGGCAGAGAGGAGCTTCATTGAATAGCAGAATGGTTATCAGACTTGAAGTGGGTAGCTCCTTTCTGCAGGCAGGTCATCTAGATGAGTTTCCAGCTCTCAGCAAAGAGGAGACCCAGAGTGAGTAGCTCCTATATGCATTCAGGTCATTCCATCATCTGCACAGCCCTCTGTGGAGCGGAGACCCAGAGTGGGTAGCTCCCATCTGCAAGCAGGTCATTCCATCATCTGTCTGAGCCTGGCTGAGTCTGGGGTTTATATGGGCTTCAGAGGGGAGGAAGTGCATGTTGATTGGTCCAAGGGCAGCCATGAGTGGGCCTGGAAAAACCACCATAAGTTTTCACTCCAGTCCACAGAACTGGTAGCCCAACACCCAGGCTTCTGACCATCCCTGACTTGAAGGTAGGGCTTCACAGGGGACATGCCCATTTCTACCCAGGAGCCTGTCTGCTCCTGCCACCATCAACCTGCTGTCCACAGTGCCCACAGCACCCAGGTTCATGCTGAGGGGTGCCTGCAGGCCCGCACCAAGCTGCCTTCAACACCCCCTCAGCCTCCCTCTCATGCTTGTTTTTACCCAAAGTCTGGAGGGGCCTGAGGTGGTAGGCGGCTGGCATGTCAGAGCTGCCCCAAGCAAACTTAAACTTGGCTGGGTTGTGACAGCACCTGGCTCAGCCTCAACTTTGCTCCAAAATCAGAGTAGGAACTGGGAATGGGGAGATCCCATGTATCAGGAGCAGACACTTTTGAGCCCGTGGGGGAACAGCACTTTCTGGATCTCCTAGTGCAAGGATGCCCAGGTCTGCAGTCATGACTGAGCAGCTGCAGGTGCACCTGGGAGGGTGGGGCTCCCACTCCTCTAACTTGGAAGGGAGCAGGGACCCCATTTGTTCCCAACTCCAACTGGCTTCTTGGAGCACTCAGCCCTGGCTTTGCCTCTCCCACTGCAGTCGGCATCATGGTAGCACTGCTCCAGATGGGCCACCACTGCCATCAGTAAGATTAAGATAAACATATCTCTGAATATTACCTAGGATCACAAAGGTTTAATACTATATTTTCCTCTATGAGTTTTATGGTTTTAGCACCTACATTTAGTTCTATGAACCATTTTGGGTTAATGTTTGTTTATGTTGTGAGATAGGACTATAGCTTTCTTCTTGTACACATAGATATTCACTTGTCCCAACACCATTTGTTAAAAAGACTATTCTTTCTCCTATTTAATTGACTTGGCAATCACATTGAAAATCAATTCACCATAAATGTAAGGGTTCTGGACTCTCAATTTTATCTCATTATTCTTTGTATCGATCTATGTATTTTATCTCATTATGCTTGGGTATCTATCTAATGTATCTTTGTATTCTTTTAATCCATCTTTGTATCAAGAGAGCATAGCTAATACCACACTCTCTTGCTTACTGTAGCCTTGTAAAAAGTTTTGACATTGGATAGGGTGATTCCTCTAGCTTTTGGGTTTAATCATTATGTTTATTGCTTTTCTATTTTCTATTTCATTTATTTCTGGTCTCATCTTAAATATTTCCTTCTTTCTTCTCACTTTGAATTTGGTTTCCTCTTCTTTTTCTAGTTTTTTAATGTAGAAGATTAGACCAATGGTTTGAGGTTTTTTTCTTAATACAGAAATTTTAGCTATAAATGTAAGTATCGCCTAAGCTTCATTCAAGAAGTTTTGGTATGTTGTATTTTCACTTTAATTTTAATTCATCTCAAAGTATTTTACAGTTTTTCTTGTGATTTTCTTTGTGCTACTGGTTGTTTAGTAATATGTTGTTTAATGTCTGTATGTTTCCAAATTTTCCGAATTTCTCCTATGTATTAGTCTGTTTTCACACTACTGATAAAGACATACCCAAGACTGGGTAATCTATTCAGGAAAAGTGGTTTAATGGACTTACAGTTCCACGTGGCTGTGGAGACCTCACAAGCATGGCAGAAGGCAAGGAGGAGCAAGTCACATCTTACTTGAATGGCAGCAGGAAAAGAGAGAGAGAACTTGTGCAGGGAAACTCCCATTTTTAAAAACATCAGATCTTGTGAAACTTATTTACTATCACGAGAACAGCAAGGAATGACCTGCCCCCATGAATCAATTACCTCCCACTGGGTCCCTCCCACAACATGTGGGGATTCAAGATGATATTTGGGTGGGGACACAGCCAAACTATATCATCCTATTATTGATTTTATCTTAATTCCATTGTCGTTTGGAAGATATACTTTTTATGAATTAAATATTTTAAATTTAGGTTTGTTTTATCACCTATCTTGGAGAACATTCTATGCACACTGGAGAAAAAAATGTATATTCAGCTGTTTTTAGATGAAATGTCTTATAGATATTTGTTAAGTCTAATTGTTTTTGAATGTTTTTCAAATGTTCTATTTTCATATTGAACTTCTGCATAGTTGTTTTCTTATTGGAAGTGGGATATTAATGCCTCCAACTATTATTGTTTAATTCTCTATTTCCCAAATCAATCTGTTAGTTTCTATGAAATTTAGGACTCCATTGTTGAAAGAGTGCTATATTATATGAAATATCTTTATTTTTATGTAAATTACCTTTATTTTTATATAAACATTATATATGCTAACGTTATTGCGGCTCCTTTTTATGTGTGGGGTCACATTGCCCTTGTTGCTTTCAAGATTCTCTCTTTGTTTTCGTTGTTCAGTAGTTTGATGATCATGTGGCAAGGTTTCGATGTTTCTGAGTTCATCCTAATTGGACCTCATTGTGGCTCTTCGATGTGTAGATAAAATTTAATCAAATTTGGGAATTGTTTGGTTATTATTTCTTCAAAAATGTGTTTTGTTCCTTTTCCCTTCTCCTTTCACCCTTGGACTCCATTATGCATATGTTGGTATGCTTCACGGTGTACCACTGGTCTCTTAGGCTCTGGTAGTTTTGCTTTATTTTTTATTCTTTCTGTTCTTCAGATGGGATAATCTCAACCTGTTTTCAAGTTCATTGGTCCTTTTTTTCTGAAGCTCAAGTCTTTTTTGAGCTTCTCTGGTAAATTTTAAATTATGTTTATCGTACTTTCTGCCTCCAGAATTTCTGTTTTGTTTTTGTATATAATTCCTTTTTCCTTAACTGATACTCTTTATTTCATGAGACATTGTTTTTATACTTTAATTCTTTATGCATTTTTTCCTTTAGTGTTTTGAGTATATTTATAATAGCTAATTTAACATCTTTGTCAATCAAGTCTACATTGGGCTTCTTCAGGGACAGTTTCTATTGACTGATCTTTTTCCTGCATATGGGCTACACTTTACTGTTTCTTTGTGCATCTCATAGTTTTTTTACTGTTGCTGAAAACTGGATATTTAAAATAATAAAACTCCAGGGCTTTTTCATTGTTGCTATTTGTTATTGTTTTTGTTTAGTAATTTTTCTCCACTAATTTTCTAAAGCCTTTGTTGTCATTCATATACACTCTACTTTCTGCTACGTTGACTTTGAATTAGGAAATATCAAAAGTGAGAAATAAAAAAATATTCAAAGTCAATGTACCAGAAACCAGAGTGTATATGAATGACAACAAATGGGCTTCCTTAAATAAATTGATCTGATGTCTCCCACCCTTTGTTGATGGACTCTGTATGTGTGCTGCTCCATGCTTCAGTGGTTTGAGAGTTTACAACTCTGCCTTAGCCTGAAATTTCTGCTTGTATAGAGTCTCAGTATCAGTCAGTGGTCAGACACTGACATTTTTCAGAATTTTCTTGAACATGTGCATTGCCTTACTCATGTGCATGGCCTTCTTTTTTCCCACAAAAATGTTGAGAGTTTTCAAAACTTGGACATCTAATTTTCCAGATATTCCTTTCAAGTTTTTTTTTGGCCAGATTCTTGTTTACCTCAGCTGGTATTGTTGCCTCAGACAGCTATGATGTTAAACAATTTCCATTGATTGTTTTCTACAAATGCCCTGGAGTCAAGGCTTTCCTCGTTAAGTTTTCCCTGAGACAGGTCAAATGAAGACAAACTCTGTGAATGGGGCTTCTCCATGGAGTTTCCAGAAAGGTCAAATAGTGACAATTCCCTGGAGATGGAATTTCTTTTGTAGGGGGAGCTCAAATCTATTCTGCTTCCTGTAATTGCTACCAGAATGCTGTTTTTCACAGCTACCATGTTTTAAAACTGCTGCTTTTTGAGATTCTATATAGCTGGGGAAAAGGGATAAGAATAGTGTGATTTAAATAATTAAAAAGTGTTCTTACTGAGATTCTTAAATAAGCACTCCTGGGATTGCTGCAAGCCTTTGACCAATTTCCATATTTCAGAAAAAGTTGATTTTGATAATTCGTTTTTGCCAGTATTCTCATTGCTTTTTTATAGATCAACTGATTATTGGAAAACCTTACCCTATCATTTATTCTGTAAGTGCTTCTTTGAACATAGATTTTTGAAAACCTACTGTGTACCAAGTGCTACGCTAGGTACTGGGCATACAGCAATGAACAAGACAAAGTCCCTATCTTTACCTTCAAATGTTTATTAAATTGAATCAGATTACCATGTGCTATGGTAACTGATAATTGAATTTATGTATTTCTCTTGATCATGCAGGAGAATGAGACACAGACAGAAGAAAACAAATACAACACCAGTTTAGATGCATCTTGCTTTTTCTAGATTTGCTCCCTTCCAAAGACACATGAATTTTACCCCTCATGGAACCAATGAAGCTTTGCAATATTCATTTAATGCCTACTTAAGGTCAGAAGTATATCTTCTTCATTTATTACTTATCTCTGGTGTCTAGCACAGCAGTCTAGCACATAGGAGGAAATAAAGTTCATTGAATGAATCCAAAAATGATGTATGTTAAATGGAAAAAGAAAGGGAAGAAAAGAGCTATGAAACTGATGATCTGATTTTTTAGTAAAGTAGTACAAAGATGTTGAGAGAACCATGTGCTTAATATGGTCTATCTCCACATAATAAATCTGGAAATGCATACTATCATGTGAGCAAAGGCCCAACTTTTTTTCCTTTTAGATCTCTTGAGTGGTACCAGGTGTAATACAACTGAGGGGATACCAGCTGTCTGTTCCTGGTCATAGCTCAATTGAAAAGTTAATTTTAGGCTATAAATTAATTAGAAAATTCCCCTTTGCCATAAATGAGGAAACCACTGAACACCACCAAAAACAGGTCTGTTTCCTTTTATGTCACAGATTAGAAATGCATTCTATCATGTCATTTTCCTAAATATGTTAAATGAGTCATCTAACTCTTGTCTCAGTTTATTTAGCTCAATGAGCAGCCTCATATCGCTTTTCATTTGCATACACTTTTCAGGGGAATGGGAAATACACTTTTAAAATGCCAGGTTTAATAATATTTCATACCAGTTATGCATGTAATTATCAGTTTTGTAGCTGTTTCTCAATTGGTTGGGACCGAATGGGCAAAGCTCACAGAGTAATACCTTATTATACTATCATTACTAGGTTATTTTCTTCCACTTCTGAGCGATCATAAACATGTCAATTTTCCTTTCCTCCTTTGTACTTTGTCTTTTTAAGATAGCATATGCTTATAACTGCTATCCTAAAAAATCCATTTTCCTCCTGGGACTCTTGTATCTATTGTCCATAAAGGTAATGCTAAGTGATGAATACACTCATGACATTCAGGGAGGAGGCATATATTTGGGTCATACATTTCCACCGAGGACAAATTCAAGTGCATTCTTGATTTAAATACCATTTCCCTTTGATTTCCTTTAATTCAACACTGATTAAGATGTTTTGTCAGCTAAAATTAGTCATACTTTATTGGGGCACAATTGCAAATATGTTCAAATGTTTGATTTTCACTCTACTATGTGTAAAGCATGATACTGTATACTGGGTCAAAAAGAAGGACAGGAAAAGATGAAAAAGACAAGTTTTACCTTATGGTGCTTAGGCCAGAATTAAGTTAATGACTGGAAAGACTACAATTGGAAATTGGGAAATTATGGTCTTGAATTATGCAACTAAATTGATATGGTGTACAAATCATATGTGGTTATTTAATTGTCCTGGGTTTCAGTGGCTTATGTGTAAAACTTCAGGATTTCATGGAGGGATAAGTAAAGACCATTTTTGTTTGACTGTCTGCAAGCCTATTTTATTTTTATTTGGAGCCTTGGTTTAGAGATTTTAGATTTTTACCTAAATGATATAATAAATCTGGTTGAATTTTATTTTATTATATTTTGGCCATACTCATACTCCGCATGAGTATTGATAAAACTCACAATGAGAATGATAAGCAAAAATCATAAAGTTGGGGGATAAAAAAACAAAACAAAATAACCAAGTTGTAGAAATATGATCCCATGAGGGTAACACTGAAAATGATGCAGTCACTATGGAAAGCCTACGGAAGTTCCTCAAAATACTGAAAATAGCACTACTATATGATCCATCAATCCCACTTCTGGTTATATATTTTAAAAATTGAGGGCCAGGTGCAGTGGCTCACACCTGTAATTCCAGCACTTTGGGAGGCCGAGGCAGGTGGATCAGCTAGGGTCAAGAGTTCGAGACCAGCCTGGCCAATGTGGTGAAACCCTGTCTCTACTAAAAATACAAAAATTAGCTAGGCTGGTGGCATGTGCCTGTAATCCCAGCTACTCAGGAGGTCTTGGCAAGAGAATCACTTGAATCCGGGAGATGCAGGTTGCAGTGAGTTGAGATTGTGCCGTTGCACTCCAGCCTGGGTGACAAGAGTGAAACTCGGTCTCAAAAGAAAAAAAAAATTGAAATCAGGATTTGGAAGATATATCGTTACTCCTATGTTTATAGCCCTATTCTTACTGATAGTCAAGATATGGAAGCAACTCCAATGTCTATTGACAGTTGAATGGATAAAGAAAATGTGGTGTATAAATAAAATAGAATACTATTGAGTCTTTTAAAAAAAAGAAAGAAACCCTACTATTTGTGCCAACAGGAATGAACCGGAAGGACAGTATGTTAGTTGAAATAAACCAGCCACAGAAGGACAAATACTGCATGATTCTGAAGCAAGATATTTTCTTGACCCCTTCGTGGGACTAGTGACAAAGGAGCCTCAATTAGTCAGGCCACCCACTCAATCCCTCATGGGAGGGAGCATGCAAGTGAAGGAATACAGGACTCAGAGCAAATGAGTGCAGGAACCGGCTGCTTTGGTGCTGGCAGAAGCAAACTCTGTGCGGGCCCCTCAGCAGCATCCTGGTGAAGGTTCCTGCCACCCCAAGGCCCCAGAGGGCATGTTACAATGTTCTCTTACCTCTGCCACCTGCAGACAGCAGTGTGTTATCAGCTCAGTGGATCCTTTGCCTCATAATGTGGGGTGGGATGTCTTCTGCCAGTGAGGGCAAAGGGCCAGTGTGACAGCCTTTTTTGAGTACCCGCACTTGGTGTATCCCGAATTCTTGTCTGGTGCCCAAGAGGAATGAGGTCATGCAGATGAATTGAAGGATGGCAAATGTGGACAATTTTATTGAGTGATGAAAGCAGCTGTCAGCAGAAAGGAGAGCTGGAAAGGGGTTGGGCAGGGAAGGTTGCTCTCCTCTAAAGTCAAACTGCCTCTCTTCCTCCATCTTCTGAAGTCAAGCCACTTCTTCCCAATGTCCAGCCACATCTTCCCAACAACCAGCTGCTTCTCCCATTGTCCAGCTGCTTCTATTCTCTGCTGGCTGAGTCTGGGGTCTTTATAGGCATAGGATGGGGGCAGGCCGTAGGTAGTTTTGGAAGAGGCAACATTCAATTGGTGAAAAGACATTATTCAGAAAGAACCAATCAGGAGAGATTGGGCACACAGGGGTGAAAGTTCTCACCTTGGGCCATGGGTTTCAGGCCTTTTGGCTCTAAGGTGGGGTTTTGCCAGGGACCTGCCCGTCTGCCTAGAGTTTCTCTGCCTCCTGTCACTATCAATTTCACTTATATGAAATTTAAATAGTCAAACTCATAGGAGCAGAAAATAGATTGGTGGTTTCTGGGAGCTGAGGGAAAGAGGAAATGGGGAATTGTTACTTAATGGGTACAAAGTGTCAGTTATGCAAGATGAATAAGCTCTAGTCATCTGCTGTGCAACATAGCATCTATAGTTAATGATAAGGTATTGCACACTTAAACATTTGTTGAGAAGTTAGATATCACGTTAAGTGTTTTCACTGCACAAGCACAAACACAAAGGGTCACAAGAAAATATTTGATGAATATGTTTATTACTTTGATTGTGGTGATGGTACCATGAGTATTTGCATATGTCCCAACTCATCAAATTGTAGACATTAAACATGTACAGTTTATAAATATACAATTATACTTTAATAAAGCTGATAAAATTGATTAGACAAATTTTTAAAAGTATATAAAAAGATGAATAACAGCATAATATTTAGATATGTGCCTATTTGTGTTATGAAAAGGAAGGAAATGAATAAAAAATGAGGATATTTTTAGACAAATTGGTACATATTTAGATTTTATTTTATTTATTATTATAAACAATATTGGAATGAACATTTTTATTTATGTCTCTTTGTGCACATGGATGCAAATTTCTCTAGGGCAGGATTTCTCAGCCTCAGCACTAGTCATATTTTGTGGAGAATAATTCTTTGTTTTTGGAGTTACAGGCGGGGTGGGAACTTTCCTGTGTATTGTAGGATATTCAGTAGAATCTCTAACCTATAACCATTAGAAGCGACTAACAGCCAACATTTTGTGACAAAAAAAAATGTCTCCAGATATTGCCAAATGTTCTGTTGGGAACATTAGCCCTCATTTAAAACCACTACTCTAAAGGATAGGCTTTACCTCTCGGTTACTTCTGAGAGAAGGAGGAGTGAGAAAGAATAATTAATATTAGAAAGGGACATATGAGTTTCAAAAGTACTATAATTTCTTAGGGAAGGAGGAGTGAGAAAGAATAATTAATATTAGAAAGGGACATATGAATTTCTAAAGTATTATAATTTCCTATTTTTTAAACCAGGTTGTAAATACATAGTGCTAATCTATTTATTATAATTGACTTCTTATATCTGTACTTTATGTATTATTTTGTATGTTAGGAATATTTCATTATAAAGATCTAGAAATGCAACATCTGCTGGTGGCAATGGAAAGTGACACATTGTTTTGTACAGCAATTTGGCAATATTTAGTAAAGCTGGGACATGCGAGTCTGTGAAACAGCACTTAAATGCCTATACTTCAGAGTAGTGGTTTTAAATGAGGGCTAATGTCCCGAGGAGAACATTTGGCAATGTCTGGAGACTTTTTTAAAATTTTGGTCACAAAATATAGGCTGATATTGGCTTCTAATGGATATAGACTAGGGATTCTACTGAACATTCTACGATGCACAGGACAGTTCCCACCCCACTTCTAACTTGAACAACAAATAATTAATCTCCCCAAAATTCCATTAGTGCTTAGGCTGAGAAATGCCCTGGAGAAACTCACATCCATGTGCACAAGGGGGAGACACAAATAAAAATGTTCGTTGTGATATTGTTTATAACAATGAATAAAATAAAATAATCTAAATGTCTATCAATTTGGGAATACATAAGTAAATTTTGGTTAATATGATCAGTGAAACTGTAGAATAATGAAAATGATTAAACTAGAGCTAATGTGTGAATTTGAACTTCTTGTTTTGTTGTTGAATAAAAATGTATAGCAGAATATATGAGATATAATTTCTATAAAGTTTAAAAACATGCAACACAAATATAGATATAATATAAAACACACATGAGAATAATAAATACTGAATTAGATTAATGGTCAATTCTTGGAGGAGGAATGAAGAGAGCCGGAGAAAAAGAGAAGGGAAGTGGATTTGGGAACATTATATAGTCTACTTGTAAAAATAATTCTTGAAAAGTTTATGTGAAAACTATAAAATATTATGTTTGGGGAACCTACTTTCTAGTGGAAGTTCACTGTATTATCTTCAGAAAGATTTATAATCTAAGTAATGTGTATTACTGAATAGTTTCTTGTAAGGGAAAGTACCACATTTTAAAGAATACTAACGTTTAATAACATCATTTTCTTCTAACTTAGATCAAGATATCTGAAATCTGCTTCTGGAAAATACTCAATTTTATTCAATTTCTTCAAAAGAAAACTACAAATTGGCTCAAGAAATTGAGATTTATGGCTGTTTACTGATCTAAATGATTTTGATTCTACTGTGTGCTGGGTGGAAAATGTCTCCCTTTAACAAATCAGTTTCCATGATTTCTTTACTATCCGTCCAATTTTCTTTTTCCTGACCATTTAAGCCACTCTTTGCTATTTTAGGCTTTATATGAAGAAGCAGTGTTTCAGAAAAGAAATATACATAACCAAACCATGTCAATTCACATCTTGCAGTTTTCAAGTTCCTGGATGAGAACTGTCAAGATTGTAAAGCTTTTCATTCTCCCAGTTGTTAATATTATTCATTTTAATGCAAGTCCAAACAAAATCCCAAATGATTGTTTTTAGAACTTTATGAGATTAATTTCTTTGTGTGATGACACAATATAAATGTCTTTAGATTTCGATGTAGAATAAGGCACAGATTATATATGTTAAAAATTACTCACAAGGATTTTTCTTGAAAACTATTTGGAAGAAACTGCTTTCCAAATATATTCTGGTCATGTTTCATACTAATATCAGGTGTCTTATAAGAAGAGCAAAATCCTCTGTGATCGTTTATCAGAGCATCCTGACCTGAGGAAGCCATGTTCTCTTCAAAGTCCCTCCTCCACGAGGCCTCTGAGCAGAGGGACATGCCTGGGCTACCAAGTAGGAGATGGAACCCTGAAGTATTACTGGTTCAGGCTTTAGAGGACTTTACCCCAGCCAGGAGCTCCACTCACTCAACACTGATTTGCCTTTAGGACCAGAACACTCCAAATGTCAACATTTGAAGTGTTTTCTATATATATATATACACATATATATATATAATTTCTATCCCGGCCACCTTTTATTATGTTGGCACCTGTAAAAATGTATTAATAAATCTAAGAGATATGTGTGGTCAATACCTAATTTGATAGTATTTTAAATATATACATCTTTTTTTCGGTTAATGTATGATGATCGTACACTCTCTTGTTTAACAGGCAATTAATATTTTGGGTTAACATTGAGGCTAAAGAAATTCTTAGAGTTAGATATAGATGAGTTTTTAAAGTCAAGTGTACCTCTCATTAGTTTTGATGCAATTTGACAGACTGTCGGGCAATATCTATATGTAGCACTACCAAATTTTAAATAGGAATGTAACCTGTATTTAAAATATTCTCATTTAAAGAACTATCGAGAGTTTTTGTTAAACTTAATGGAACGACCAGTAAAGGAATAAATAAGCAAAAACTCCTAAGGGTAAGTGTTGGGATTCGATCAGGCTGGTGGGAAAAATATTAGTTATGATAGCCACAAAACCCTTTTGGAAGGCTCGAGGGTTTTCACATGACTTCCGTAATAGAAGGGACGGAAGGTGGCCTGGTTCCATTACCTTTAGTTAAATAGATTAGAGTAGTAAACAAGGGGATGTGGGGAAGTTATCTAGTTAGCTTGTTTACTCATGTGGTCTTAAGAGGAGCCTCTGATGTGTGCTTTTTGCTGGGGAAGTCCACAATGTCAATTACCCTCTAATGGTGTTGACTCAAGCTTTTGTTAACTAATCTTAATGAATAAATGCGAGTCTCCCTAGCTGATCAAGACGGGCCACAGTGACAAACCTCTGTTGGTGTGTAGGCGGTCAGACACTCAGTAGGACTGGCAAAACAGAATGTGTGTCAGTGTACGTTTATTCATCCGTCCTTTGGGTCAGGGTCTGCAGGCAGACACCCACAGCTAATGCCCTCTTGTGAGGAGCAATACCTCAAGTAAGAGTGATTTATACGAAGAATTTGCATATTTATTCTTTTGGTGTTTATGAATGTGGAAAAGGATGTCATTAGAAATTCTAGAGTAGCTAAGTCATGTCCATTAAGAGTGTGTTAGAGAAATAGGCTTAGAAGTTGGGGGCACAAAATACCAGTGAAAGTAAAGGTACAAGGTGTCTTGAAAACAGAAAAACTGGCAGAAAGTCTATATAAGGAGACATCAATTTTCTCTCTAACCACCTGTGTTCAGGTAATTACACTTCCACACTCTAAAAGTAGAAAGTATACTTTCTTGAGAGACTCCTGCCGGAAGGACTCTGACTCCTGGAAAAATACGCAGAGATCAGAGATGCCATATTGCATATAGGAATTAACTGCACATACAAAGCAGAGAGTAGCACATTTGCCTTTTCTCACTCTGTTCCCAGTGTTTTGGCAGCCCAGTTCATAGCAACTGAGCAGGACATTGCAGATATTATTTCAGGATAAATGAACTGTTTAAAGAGAAAGAATGGCCCCAACACAGTGAGCTCCTTTCCTGCTCTCTCTATACTGACGCCCATTCTTCAAGTCATACTAAACCATTAGAGGCTCACAACTGACCTCATCCTTAACAATATTAATGAATAGCCAAGGATCACCAAAAAATTAGAGAAAGCTTCAGAGAAAGATTATTAGTATAGAAATAATATTCTTAAAATATATAAAATGAAATATATGTGTAAAATATCCTTGGAGAATAAACAAGGCAGATGCAAAAGACAACAGAAAAAAAATTTAACCAAATAATATTATCTGAATGGTAATCTTATAAAGTGAAAATATTACAGCATATAAGGTTGGAATATAAGGTTAATGAAATCTCCCATAAAATAGAACAAAAAGACAGAGAGATATAAAGTATTGCAATAAAAGATAATTAAAAGTTAGCCCCCAAAGTGCAATATTTATGTATTTGGATATTTCAAAGAAAGATAATGGAGATGAAGAAAAATTAGCAAAGATTTAACCTAAAAATATTACCCAGAACTAAGTGCATAAGGTAACAGCAAAAAGTGCATAATTGTTTAGCACAGTAGACAGAGATGATTTTCACCAAGAGTCATTAGCATAAAATTTCAAAACATTGGCTATGAGGAAAGAATTCCAATTTGTTTCATATGGACAAAAGAAAACAGACTCCATAGGAAAGAAAAGATAAATTAAAATGGCATCAGATTTACCAATAGCAATACAAAAAGTTCAAAGATAATGAGGCAATGTTTCCATAGTTATAACAAAAAGTAATTTCCAATTTAGAACGCTTTAGTAACCTATCAGTCAAGTGCAAGTGTAGAACAAACGTGTTTTCAGACACATAAAGTTTTTAAAATTTACCTTCCATATAGTCTGTTTATTTTAGAAAACTACTGGATGAGATGTTCCACTAAAACAATAAAGAAAATCAAGAAATGAGACAACATGAGATTTAAGAAAAACACAAGACCAATTATGGTGGCTTATGCCTGTAATCCCAGCACTTTTGGAGGGCGAGGCGGGCGGATCACGAGGTCGGGAGTTTGAGACAAGCCCGACCAACGTGGTGAAACCCCATCTCTACTAAAAATACAAAAATTAGCTGGGTGTGGTTGCATGCACCTGTAATCCCAGCTACTTGGGAGGCTGAGGCAGGAGAATTGCTTGAACCAGGGAGGCGGAGGTTGCAGTGAGCCATGATGGCGCCACTGCACTCCAGCCTGGGTGACAGAGAAAGACTCCATCTCAAAAAAAAAAAAAAAAAAAAAAAAACCACAAAGAAAATTCCCAAGGTGCTGGCAAAGATAAGTTCCAGGAATCCAGTTGTACACTGTTATGACAGATTAAGGAGCACCTAATCCAGTTGGAAGATGGAGAACAGTGAATTCCAGGAGGGTCAGCTTGGCCAAAACATGTAGCTCACTTGAAGTTTTGCTTTGCATGAATTCATACAAGATTATCACTCCTGCCAGAAAACT
Organism: Homo sapiens; assembly: GCF_000001405.40. NCBI lineage: Eukaryota > Metazoa > Chordata > Mammalia > Primates > Hominidae > Homo > Homo sapiens. Next base: position 99,366,216 of record NC_000005.10, read on the forward strand.
TGGTGAACAATTAGCCCTAAGAATATAGGAGATTAAGCAAGTGTCAGGAAAATGAAAACAAATATAATTTCAATTGACACAGAATATCCATGGAATGCCTTAATTTTGATGGTCTCTTTAAGCCTAAGTGACATCTTTGGTACTTATGTTTTGATCTGCTGTAACACCTACCCCTGAGACTCCAAAAGCCATACAATTAGCATGCAGATTTTTCATCTTATAAGGATTTTCCGTTTTTATGGTGTCATTGAACATTTCTGAAGTTCATGGTAAGAAGAAAAACTTAGTTTTCATTTGTTTTTGATCCACCATCTTTTTTTCATCTCCAATAAGTGTGCTCTCTGCTCATTAAGTTGAACAAAAACTCACCTACCCTTTATTTTCCATCCTATCTTAATAGTACTAAAAGTTACTGTTTCAATCCCATGTGTTTTATATTTTTACAGCTTTTACTCCATTCAGAAACCTCTTTAAAAGCATAGCAGTCTTACATGAAATCTCTTAATCCGTCTTTTTTGCCTGCTCAACTTTTCATACCGACTGTAAATATTTAGTTTCTTCAAATTCCATCCTAGATTCTCTTCTCTCCATGTTCATAGGATTCTTGCCATCTACATGCCAAGGAGCTCTAGTTGATCTCTCTAGCCCCAATTTATCTTGTAAGCTCCAGATTTTTATATGCTACCTTTGGATGTCTCAAAGGAACTTCAATATGATTATGATGAAAATCGAGTTTACTGGCTTACTCAGAAAACTATATTCCCCTCTGACGTTCTTTATTTCAGCAAATGACACCACATCCATCCACTTGTACAGGACAAAACCTGTATATTTTCTCTGAAACCTCCATCTTCTTCACTCATCATTCATTAAATACTGTTCGCATTGCTTCTTGAATATTTCCTAAAATGGTCTACCTCTCTAGAGGGAACTAGAGTTTGCCATGCCATCAAAGTTGAAGCTTTTTCTGGATTAATACAATAGCCTTTTCATTAAACTTCCTGTTTTGACTCTGGCCCGATTTGCAACCATTCTTCATAGGAGAACCAGGAGAGTATGAGTACAGATGGGTACTCATGCCATGTCATGATTAAAACATTTTAATCATTTTCCAGTAACTATAGGATAAAAAAATTTATTATGGCCTATAAGGCCCTCCATGATTTGCTTTCTGACTATATATTTTTATTCTCATCTTTCTTAATTCTCTCTTGAGTCCACTATTCTCCAGTCATTAACATCTTCTTCCATTGCCTCAAATGCACCATACTTTCCCCATTTGGGTCCTCTTCCATCAATTTTTAACCACTTTTAGTACTCTTCCTCCAACCTACATAGCTACTAAGCATCTTTCAGAGCTTGCTCTGATTACACGATGTCAGGGAGGCTTTTCCTACTCTCCGTGATTGCATAATAATCTTGTCTTAGTCAGTTTGGGCTGCTGAAACAGAATATCATAGACTGGGTAGCTTAATCAACAGAAAGTTATTTCTCACAGTTCTGGAGCCAGGGAAGCCCAGGATCACAGTGCTTGTAGATCTTGTGTCTGGTGAAGGCCTGCTTTTTGGTTTGCAGATGAACATCTTCTCCTTGTATCCTCAGATGGCTGAGAACAGAAATGAAGCCAGGTCCTTTTTATAAGAGCACTACTCATCATGTTTATTTTCATAAGAGCACTGATTCTATCATGAAGGCTCCACCCTCAGGACCTAACTACCTCCCAAAGGTCTCACCTCCTAACACCTTCACGTTGAGGGTGAAGATTTCAACATGTAAATTTTGGGGGACCGCAAACATTGTCTATAATAGATCTCTTATAAAATGCCTTCAAAATACTCTATAATTTTTCTTCTTAGAAATAAATACATGTTATAGTTGTATTTTTATGTGTGAAATTCTTTTTGTTCATACCAATTTGCATACTTCAACTGTACAGTCCAAAGCATCTCACCATCTTATTTACAGAATCTAATATAGTCCTTGGCCTAGCAAATAAGACCAATCTAAGGAATTCCCCTTATCAAAGCTACTTAGATATTTCATATATGCACCAAAATTTAATACTGGAGTTTGACATATAGTCATGTCTAAAATAGTCATATCCTACTACCCAATATAGGTAATATTAAATTAAAAATACAGAAAATATTTTTAATTAGCAATGAAGTTCAGAAAGTCATACTACATAATATGCTTTGTTGTTGTATTGGGTGTCCAATTTAGTAATTTTCCTGTATGTTCCCTTAAAGAGAAAGACCAAAGCTAAGCCCATCAGTATAAATACCATTACTTCAGCTGGCATCTTCTAACGCATCATGAGTGGGACTTTAACTGATCTATATGACTGTGTGTTCCACTGTCATAACACACTAAAATGAGTTTCTTATTAAAGGCATTATTACTTATAAAAATGAACTTCTTATGAAATGAGACAAGACAGCGTTTACCTCACAAGTACAGGAGAAAACCAGAGAACAGGATAAAATTCTATAATGTGGTAATTAAAATACTTTCTCGTTTGTTTTGTTAAAAGACATGTACACAGAAAAGCTTGAAGGAGAAAACTGCTTTCTTTTAAAATCTCTTCCTCCATCTCACCCACTCACACTATTTCCACTTCAGGGACATATCTTGTGTACCCAGGCCAGTTTAAATTAAACACATCAATCATCCTAAGGCTCAAGAATTACCTAATGTTGTGATGAATGACTTCTGTGACTTAGCCTCTTAGGGTTTGCTCTTTTGAGATTTGCTGCACATGTGCATTTATTTTCTGGGCCTGAGGCAGTCTGATGCAAAGGTGGAATAGGCAGTTGCCTATGTTTTGCTCAGAATATTTCCAAAGTGGTGTGCCATAGTGCTTGGTATTCCTACAGTCAGAATTATGTCTTTGAGCTAAGACGGTATCAACAGAAGGTCACTGTTCTGATTTAAATACATTCTCTTGGAGGGGTGATGAGATAAAACACCAATCTTAGCGAATAAATAAATCTGAATACTAGGATAGATCCCTTTCAGAAAGTAAAGCTCTGAAGAATTAAAGCCAAGGGCAAGTGCATTTTGATGGTGAATTGAATGGAAACATCTGAAGCATGAAGTTATGCGTGGTTTTCTGATCTATTAACACTCTAAAAATAGAGAAAATTGGAAGTCACTAAGAACCTAAGAATTAGTGTGTCCACAAAATAAACTGTTGACTTTAAGTGGAAATGAAGGGGATCCCAGACAAAGGCTGGTCTTGTTTAATTCTCTTAATTGCTACAAAAATATTAAGCAACCATATGTGTGTGTGTGTGTATGTGTTTATGTGTGTATGTGTGTGTGTGTATTTAGGTAAAAGGGCCTGGAACTGAATAGTACCAGGATGTTGCTTTTTGAAATCATTACTTGCAGAAAAGATTTAAAGTGATTTTTAGAATCAGAATAGACGTAGTAATTATATGTCTTCTGCAGTCCTACTGGTTCAGCTTGCATACGTAACTAAACAAAAGATGAAGTGAACTCATTCAAATGAATCGTTCAGAATTCATACCCCAGTCTCAATGGAAGCATGAAGCATCTGAAAGCATCTTTTTTATTTACTTGTTTTTGGTGGGGAGAATTAATATATAATTTGCTTTATCACTGTCCATCATGTTTTGTCTGAAATAAAAAACAAAAGTGTTTTAAAATGCTGCTTAGGAAAATGGTGGGCTGCTTTACTGCAGCTGAAAGGGGAGAATGCCCATGAAAGAAGCTTGAGATGTGCCTGTAGGTGTTGAATATAATTATTTTGTAAACATTTGGAATCTTTCCCAGTTTGGTTAATGAGGTAGCTGTTTGCTTGACTGAATGGTCTTTGAAAAACCTTCTGTTTAATGAAAGATATTTTCTTGTTGTTGCCAGGTAATTCCTATCACCAAGTATGTTTGGAGACAACGGACCCAGTCTGGATGGCTGGAAGGAAAGAGTTTCTTTAATCATCTAAATTGATTTTCTTTTCTTTTCTCATCAATCTATGTAACAGATGAATACAAAAGAGGACCAAAGACTAGTCTTCACAAGTGTCCATTTTCTGTTCTACTGTAAACATTTTCCAATCAGCTTTTTAGCAAGATGTAGACTCTTATCAATCATTCTCCTAACCAAGCATATCAGCTGCCAAGCCTCAGAGCCAGCATCTTCCACCTGGCCTGGTTTAATATCATTTCACTCGCAGACTATAGTCCTGCCTGACTCCAGCAATTTCTCAAAACTGCTGTTAAATCATTAATTTGACCTCTGCTTTAACCTTGTCACCTGCTTCCTTCACACTGTGTAGTGGCTTCCCAAATGCCCTAAAAATTCAGACCAAGATTCTACTTTAAATCTCCACATCCATGTGTTTATGGTTCTTCCGAACTCTTTGATGTTTGCTTTTAATTATCTCAGTCAAATTTCCAGGTTCTCTCCTGAACCACTGCTTTTCAAGCGTCCCAAACACTCTGCCTCCTATCATTTAAGTAGCTAATCTCACAGGCTCAAGAATGTTTTCTCCAGCCAATTAAAAGTAGAAATAGCCATTTCCTGAAATACAACTCCTAAGATTTTAAAATAATCAACCATCGTACCTGTGTGCACATAAACATCATTCTAATTACATCTGCGTATGTCAAGTACAGATTTCTATGTCTTTCAATTAACTTAGCCAAGTAATGTAACCTTATTTTGCTACAGCTCAATTTAATCGCTATTTTGCCTTTTCAAATAATCATTTCCCTCCAATTCCATAATCTTAAGCCTGGAATTTAGGTGAAACCCTAAGAAGCAGGGATAGGGGAAAACCTTCTACTGGTTGATTTTGAATATGAGAATTAGAACACACAGAGAGAAGCTGAATTATATTAAACTGAGAAATGTAAAATGGTGCAGCCACTTTGGAAAACAGTTTGGCAATTCCTCAAAATGTTAAGTGTAGGGTTACCCTATAATCCAGCAATTCCAGTCTTAGATATGTCCTCAAGAAAAATAAAAACATATGCCCCCTCAAAAACTTGTACAGGAATGCTCATAGCAGTGTTACTCATACTAGCCCCAAAAGTCGAAACAACCCAAATGTCTATTAATGGATGAGTGAATAAAGAGGTGGTATTCATACAATGTAATATTATTCAGCTATATAAGGAATAAAGTATTGATACATGCTCAGTTTGGATAAACCTTGAGATCATTATATTAAGGAAAAGGAAGCAGACACAAAGGTTCACATAGTGTACTATTCCATTTATATGAAATGTCCAGAATAGACATTTGTTAAAATTATAGATTTGGGCAGTACAGGTGAAGTTTTGTTAGATCAATATATTGCATAGCAGTGAAATCTGGTCTTTTATTATAGCCATCACTCAAATAATGTACATTATACCGATTAAATAAGTTCTCATTCCTCACCCCCTTTCCATCCTCCCACCCTTGCAAGTCTCTGATGTCTATCATTCCCCTCTTTATGTCCATGTGTACACATTGTTTAGCTCTCACTTATAAATAAGAATATGCAGTATTTGATTTCTAAGTTATTTTTCTTAAGATAATGGCCCCCAGTTCCATTCATGTTGTTGGAAAATATATGATTTCATTCTTTTTTATGGCTGAATACAGTTCTATGCTGTGTGTGTATATGTATATATATGTATATATATACGTATATATGTATATATGTATATATATGTGTATATGTATATATATACACACATATATACCACATTTTCTTTATTCAATCATCTATTGATAGGAATTTGGGTTAATTCCATATTTTTATTATTGTGAATAGTGCTGGAGTAAGCATGAGTACAAGTATCTTTTTTGGTATAATGATTTCTTTCCCCTTGGGTAGATACCAGTAATGGGATTGCTGGATCAAATGGTAGCATGGTGGCTCAATTTTTAGTTCTTTGAGAAATCTCCATACTGTTTTCCATAGTGGTCATACTAATTTACATTCCCACAGTGTGTGTTTCCTTTTCTCCACATCCTCAGCAACAATTGATATTTTTTTGACTTTCTAATAACAGCCATTGTGACTGGTATTGGAGGGTATATCATAGTGGCTTTTTTTTTTTTTTTTTTGAGACAGTCTCACTCTATTGCCCAGGCTAGAGGTGCTAGAGTGTAGTGGTGTGATTTTGGCTCACTGCAACCTCTGCCTCCAGGGTTCAGACGATTTTCATGTCTCAGCTTCCTGAGTAACTGGGACTACAAGTGTGCACCACCATTCCTAGCTAATTTTTGTATTTTTATTAGAAATGGGGTTTTGCCATGTTGGCCAGGCTGGTCTTGAACTCTTGGACTCAAGTGATCTGCCTTCCAAAGTCCTGGGATTACAGGCATGAACCACTGTGTCCAGCCTCATAGTGATTTTAATTTGCATTTCTCTGATGACTAGTGATGTTGAGCATTTCTTCATATGCTTACTGTCTACTTGCATGGCTTTAAAAATATCTTTTTCATGTCCTTTGCTCACTATTTAATGTACTTATTTGGGTTTTTGTTGTTGTTCAGATGTTTGAGTTCCTTGTCGATTCGAATATTAGTCTTTTGTTGGACACATAACTTGCAAATATTTTCTCCCATTCTGCAAGTTGTTCACTCTGTTGATTATTTCTTTTGTTGTGTGGAAGCTTTTTAATTTAATTGTATCATTTGTCTATTTTTTTGTGGCATATGCATACAATGGAATATTATTCAGTCAGAAAAAGGAACAAAGTATTGGTCCATGCTACAGCATAGATAGGCCTTGAGAACAGTATTCTAATCTTTTCATGCTTTATTGGATATTTCTATATCTTCTTTGGAAAAATGGTCAAGTATTTTGTCGTTTTCAATTGAGTAATTTGTCTTTTGGTTGCTGTGTTTTAATAGTTACAGAATTTGTATATTCTGCATACTAAACCCTTATGTAATATTTGATTTACAAATCTCCTTTCTATTTGCCTCTTGATAGAGAAGGCATGATTCATCCATTTTAGTGAGAATAAAGATAATAAAATGGATTTGAAAAATGTTTAATTAAAAACTGTTATCCTTTGAACTGTGTTCCAGAAACAGACATCTATTTGTACACATATGACTTCATATGCTTATTAATAATCTCATGTGTCCTGTGAAGTTGGAGATTTGTTTTGACATCAATACTCGTCATCAGGGGAATGCAAATCAAAACCACTACCAGATTTTTCTCACACCTGTCAGAATGTCTATTATCAAAAAAACTAGAGGTAACAAGTGTGTGGAGAAAAGGGAATGCTTGTGTACTCTTTGTGGGAATGTGGGTTGGTGCAGCCATTGTGGAAAACAGTGTGGAGGTTCCTTAATAAATGAAAATAGAACCATCATATGACCCAGCTATCCCTCTTCTGAGATGAAATCACCATCTCATTAAAAGAGCTGAACTCTATTCATTGCACCACTATTCACAGTAGCTAAGGTATGGAAACAAGCTAGATGTCTATCAATGAACAAATGTGTAAAGAAACTGTGATACACACACACACACACACACACACACACACGAGTATTACTTAGCCTTAAAAAGGAAGGAAATTTTCCCATTTGCCACAACATGGATGGACCTGGAGGACATTATTCTCAGTAAAATAAACCAGATACCAAAAAAAAAATGCATGATCCTTCTTATATATGGAATCTTTAAAAAGTCAAATACATAGAGACAGAAAATAAAACAGTAGTTTTCAGGGTTAAGGTCGGGGAAGGAAATGGGGAGATGGAGGTTAAAAGAGATACAAAGTAGCAAATATGTAGGACAAACAAGTTGAAAGATCTAATGTACCAAATGAGGACTATAGTTGATAATGGAATATTGTATTCTGAAGTTTTGCTAGATGAGTAGATTACAGCTGATACTGTGCTACAGTACTACAGTCCTACAGTAGATTACTCTTGCCACAGGAGGAAAAACTGGTAACTACGTGAGAGGATGGATATGTTAATTTGTTATACTTTGGTAACCACTTTACTATATGCAGCAGGTCCTCAAATAACATCCTATCCATTCGAGTCATTTTATTATAATGTTCGTGAGAAAAAAGATGATTCTGGACCCTGGATCCTGTCTGTTTGGAGTTTGCATGTTCTCCCAATATTTTGCATGAGTTTTCTCCAGGTTCTCCTGTTTCCTCCCACATCTCAAAGACATGCACCTCAGCTTCATTGGCATGTCTAAATTGTCACAGTCTTAATGAGTGTGAGTGTGTATATGAGTGCATCCTGCGATGAGGCTTCCTGTTCAAAGTGGGTTTCCGCTTTGTGTACTGCACTGCTGGGAGTGGCTCCAACCACTCGAAATCTTGAGCTAGAATAACTGGATAAATAAGTATCTTACTTGTTTCTACTAGTCTTTCTTAAATGTATATATAACTCACAGTTATTTCAATGTTAAATATTAGAAGTGTTTTTAGAAGTTTGTTGGTTTTTGTGACCAGAAATATATAGGAACTTAACTCTTGTTACATCAATTAACCTTTGGTAAAATTGGTTTAATTATATGTAATTTCAATTAAAGTTGCAGTTTCTGAGAACCTATCAGCAGCATTAGGTCATATATATGTATATGACTTAACATAGATATATATATCTTAACATATATATATCTTATAATATCATGTTGTATACCTTCAATATACACAGTGAAATTTATTTTTGAAAATTTGAAAAAGAAAGATATTAAATGCTCCAATTTAAGATGGAAATTGTGGTTCGTTAGTATTTGCTTGAAACCAATGGGATTATTTACGAAACCATGTTCCAATTCAATTGGCCATTATAATTAGAGGTAACATTCGGATTACCCTTCATTTAAAAATTGTAATTAAACTGTAACTTCGATATGCATTTAAAAAGTGAATTCTTTCCCAAGGTGGGCCAGCGCTTTTCCACTTCCCTGAATATCCATTAGGTTTCTGAGTATGACTTTCTAATCTCACTGTAGTATGATAATTCCAAGGTAGTATATGAAGAAAAAATTAAACAATAATACGGTTGCAGACATTGTACGAGATGCCGCTTTTTTATTTTTCAAAGGCAGAGAATTAATAATTTATGACTGTATATCTGTTTCTCCTTGAGGAATGTATGAGAGAAAGGCAACCTTTTTTTTTTTTTCTTGGTTTGGTTTTAGAACAAGAATTTTAGATCAATGAAGGTTAAAAGTTCAACAGGATAAGGAGTTCAGTGAGTCCCCGAAGTGCCACACTGACATTCCAAGACAGAGCTGGTAAAGGTCTCCTTTTCTTGATGTCACTTTCAAAAGAATGTATTATCAAAATGTCACCTATTTGGTCTACACGTCTCTACTCTGTATCCATCCATGTGCCTCATAGGGCTCCATGGTGATTCAGAACTGGTTTTCCATATTTCCAGTGGCTTGTTTACCTCAGAAGAGGTCAACCAGATGCATAACAAACTGTCAGTGACTGACTTTAACAACAGATACCTGTTCAAATTCCTTTCAGTAGTATTTTCTGTAACACACTAAGCACATACACAATAAATCTAAGTTGATTTTCCAACTTATGCTGATCATGATTAGGTAGGTGGTCTGGAGGCTTTGGATTTATTTACTTACTGCTTGTCTTGGGTCAAATAAAGATCGTCACTGCATTTTTTCTATCTTTAACATGAAAATGATAAAAATCTCAAAATCTTAAGAGTTTTCGCGAATTCTAGAAAACATCATTTGATAATTTCATTTTCTAGCTGATTCTTGAACATCTCCAGTGAAGAAACTCAGTGTCCTGTGAGAAATAAATTTCTTAACTACCCCAAATGCAATTTTATAATAAAAATTACAAATACTCATAAATACTTGCTATATGCCAGGCACTATTCCACGTGTTACACGCATATATACACTTAGGGGCATGTGTGTGTGTGTGTATGTGTGTATAATTAAACCTGTTAACTATTTTGTAAAATGAGTACTATTTTTATTCTCTTATTTCAGATGAAGGCACTGAGACTTAGATTAGGTAATTAGGGTTAGATTGAATTAGGGATTCAATCCTATGACTTAGGCAGTCTCGTTTTCAAATTCACTCTTTTAACTACTAGGATATGCTTCTTTTTGATGATATGATTTAGCGATTTATAAACCCACATCTACTTAAGTCAGCCATTTACCTCACTTGTTTTGAGAACCACATAATTGCTAAAATTTAAAAAAAAAATACAAACTCCATTCTTGAATTTTTTTTTTTTTTTACAAAGTCTTGCTCTGTTGCCCGGGCCATAGTGTAGTGGCACGATCTCAGCTCACTGCAACCTCTGCCTCCCAAGTTCAAGTGATTCTCTTGCCTCAGCCTCCTGAATTGCTAGGATTACAGGAGCTTGCCACTACACCTGGCTAATTTTTGTATTTTTAGTAGAGATGGGGTTTCACCATGTTGGCCAGGCTGGTCTCGAACTCCTGACCTCAGGTGATCTACCCACCTCGGCTTCCCAAAGTGTTTGGATTACAGGCGTGAGCCACCATGCCAGGCCCACAAGCTCCATTCTTACAGGGATCAATTAGATGGAAAATTTTCCTTTGAAAAACAAATAACTATTTTTTGTTGGGAAACTTAGAGTTTTCTCTCCATAAATAAAATGACCTATAATCATCCTACTGATGGCAGTATTGTGGGTGAATGACTTACACATTAATTCTTAAAACGTGATCACTATTCAAATAGTACCCTAGAGGAATAGCTCTTCCATATGAAGTATTGCCTTAGATATTGGAAGCTATTTTTAAAATTCTGCAGAAGAACTTCAGTTTTTATTACACAATGACTTACTGAAAGAGAGGTATACTCTTGTAGTGTCTCACTTACTGATACCTCTGTGTTTTCTAGCTATGAAACTTGAGATAAAGAGACAAGGATTGCACTAATGGAGGGGAGTTACTTTTTCCTACTCAATGTTATCTCTTAACTGTGGATTGTCATCAGTCTCTAGCCTTCTGAGCTCATCTATCACTATTTATTTCTCCTCTGCTCTCTTTCTTTATTTTCCTTTGCTCCCTCATTGCTTTCTCCATCATATAAATAGGTTTAGCTTTATCCCATCTTAAAAGAAATACCTCTCTTAACCCAGTAATGTTTTTAGCTCTTGCTTTATGTCATTCATTTCTTCTTACATCCGTTTAGCAAGAGTGCGGTCTAAATTTACTATTTCGGTATCTGTACTGTGCTTTCCTTCCTCAACTCACTACAAATAGGTTAAGGCCACTGGTACAACACTAGGAGCCCTTTCTCATTGCTTGCTAATGGCTTCCTTATTACCAAATACTGTTGATTCTTTCCAGTCCTATCTTACTTAACTTCCCTGACCATGCACACTTTCAAAATCTTTTTTTCTTAGTTTCTTCAAAAATTCAGTCACCGAATCGTCTGCATTTCAGACTCACTCCTTGGTGTTTCTTGAATGTGAATGTTTCTCCATCTGTTCCATAGATGGTAGCGTCCGGCAGTTACATCCTCAGTTCTCCTAATTTTACAAACTCTCAATCATTTAACCATATACAATTATAAGATGACTTCTCAGCCCAAGACTCAATCCTATAAATCCCACAATTATCTTAAATACTATATATCTGTATGATACCCAAGGTTTCCTGAGTTTTTCCAGTTTTTTTCTTACTTCTCATTTAATATCCATTTAACCACAGGCTGCACCTTCATCCTGTCTGACTTCAGGAAGCTTAGTACCTCCTCAAGTTACAATGTCCTCAGAGGGAGCTTAAATTGCTGCTCATTATTTATTATATGGAACTTTTGCTTTGCTTTGATTGGCCACCAAATCATGGCTTCTCTTTTGTCTGAGGCCTTTCAGTTCATGCATGACATTTATCCTGCCTTTTGCTGGGAGTGCCCTGCCAACTGTCCTTCTACCCAGACATGGTCAGTCGTAATGTGCTGGGGTCCACTCATCCTTTTTATGTTCTTTTTTTATTGCCCCTTAGAGAAAGTGGAAAATCTCCTAGTATCAAAATATCTGTTAGGGGCAACATATCTTTTCTTCAATATATGAAAAAGTCTTTTGCTTTATTCTTCAAAGCATTTTATCTCACTCTTGCCTAAACCTCTACCTTTCAGGGGATGGCCCTGAGCCTGAGACCTACTTTTGCATAGATAAAATACCCATTAACATGGTCCCATTCAAATGAACATTCTCCACCGAAGTCATATTCTGCCCCTCTTCAAACGAGGAAAGAATTACAGCTTTTAAAAATTTTTCTATTTTTTTCCTCCCTTTGCTTAGGGATGATATTTAGCTTGTATGTACCCTATGGCTATTATAGTTGCTAAAATTTTGAAATACTTCTATACCAGTTAGTTAACAGTCCTTGCCTAAGCCCTGTGACCACACCCTCTCACCACAGTGTCTTGGCCCAAATCTTCCTACAAACGAGTAACTAATGACTTGATACCTGACACTGCAGGTGGCTCTAGGGCTCTGCACAAACACCTTCTCCCCAGTTGGCCTCAGTGATTCGCCTGTTGAACTGATGGTTAAATATTTTGAAAATCATCACTGAAAACACATATTACAGAATGCTTATTGGATATCACTAAACTTACCATTTTCCTCTTTCCTCACTCTCAAAACAAACAAAAATAACAAACACAAGTAAGAACAACAACAAAAACAACCCATCTTGGTCTTCTTCTATAATTCTTCAGTAAATTCACTGCAATGACATAAGCTAAAAACTTATCCTATCTCACATTTATGGCTCAAATCCAAACTGTCTCTAGGTTCTGCCTATTTTACCTCCTTGGACATATTCAGATCTATTCCATGCTCTTTGTCCTGTCTATCTTCTTTAGTTTAGACACTGGCTGACAGTTTCTCCTTTGTGTGGTTGCAGTAAATCATAACTCATGTCCCTGCCTCCAATATTGTTCCTTTCAAATTCATCTTCCACAGAACTACAAAGGGTTCTATCCAAACCCCAAATATATCCCTTGCTTGATTAAATCCAACCAAAATGCCCATTTTCTATGAGCCTCTCTGGCTTAATATTCAAAGCCCTTCACGATCGGGCCAACTGTCAGAGTCCTCTTTTGCTATGCCCTTGTACTTACACTGTATTCTAGCTTTGCTAAGCTGCTTGTGATCACAAAGCCTCATCAGTCTGGAAATCCCCTTTTTCTTGTTGCTCTACAGGGGAGCTCCTATTCATCCTTCAAGGATCAGCTTAAGTGTCACATCCTCTATAGATTCTTCCCCTACCATTTTTTTCTCCCCCAACTTCTTTCACCTTTTAATAAGAACGTTTCCATACCAGTGATCAAATGTGACATGCAGTTTTGTGCGTCTTAATTCACTTGTCTATCTCTTCCACTTGGTTTAGGATTTTTGAGGGCAATAATTTTATCTTAGTCTTTATTTCAGTGGCATTTAGTATATTGCCTAACAGTAAGTTACAGACTAAATAAATCAACAATAAATAAATAATAGATCCTTTCACCTGAGGATTTGTACATAAAGGACCATATTTATGAATCAGGTTTGTAGAGACCAAAAGTAAATTGCCTTTTCTTTGTAAGTATTGGGAATAATCATTTTAACTTTGTTTCCTTTGCTTAGATAAAAATAGAGTTGATGGTATTAGAAAGTGAAGTTGCCAAGTGATGAAATGGGTGATCATATATTAGTGTATCAATGATCTCTTATGTCCTAAATTTTCTAATTTAATTTTCTAATTAAATTCTGCCATATAGGCACAGTCTCATGCACTAATGAAATGAAAAAAAATATAAGGTTTGTGTTGTTTTGAAATGTCAGCTAAAAAACAGGGACATCCATTTAAATAAGTAAGAAGACATTCTTTTTCCATCTTGGGTTATGTTAAAATCTGATGGCACAAAAATACCTTGTCACATTCAGACTTATTTCTTATATTAGTTTCCAACAAATAAAAACCTATTCTCCTGCTCTTAAATATCAGATTCTAGAGATTATAGCAAAAATGATTTTTTTCAGTCTGGGTGTGGTGGCTCATGCTTGCATTCTCAACACTTTGGGAGGCTGAGGTGGGAGGATCACTTAAGACTAGGAGTTCAAGACAAACAAGGCCTGATCTTTACAAAAAGAAGAATAATAATAAAACAGCTGGGCATGCTAGCACATGCCTATAGTCTTAGCTGCTCAGGGGTCTGAGGCAGTAGGATTGCTTGAACCCAGGACTTTGAGGTTACAGTGAGCTATGATCACACCACTGCACTCCAGCCTGGGCAATAAAGCAAGACCATTTGTCAAAAAAAAAAAAAAAAGATTCTTTTCAGTTTTGATTATATTGTTTCTGTAGACTCTGCACTTGTTTTTGCAATAATTTCTTATTGTTATCATATTTAGGTATTTTAATATTTAATTAGTCCTTAGCTTCCCTATTATAATTTGCAGCAAAGACAGAATTGAAATGGAAGAAAAAAGCAAACTAAAAAAATGCAAAAATGTATTATTTAATATAAGGCAAAGGATGACATAACATGGATTTTAAGCAATAATTAGAACAGTATGTTCTAGTTTAAAATAATAACACATTCTGCTGCAGGCATTTTCCTGAACTGACATCTCTGAACTAGAACTAGGAACAATTGCCTACATTTTCTTGAGATCATGCCATCAGGCTCTTAAATATACTGTAAGACCTGTCCTACAGTTGTTAATTCTGATCCTTGCTGAAAGAAACAAAGATAACTAGGAAAGAGGCAGTGTAATAATTTAGATTAAATTGTCTAAAATATTAAATAATTTAACTCACTACTGTGAGGGTGGGTGAAGTCTTATTTGCACATGCACCATGTTGCACTGTGGGCCACGGACCCTGAGAGCACCCTGCATGTGCCTCTGTTTATCATTGCTGCCTGTCTTTGATTCATAAATCTGTTTTCCCTGACTTCCTGTGCAAATGTTTTGTGTCACTGGACTAGATCTAAGAATGTTTGCAACTGGTTTCATATTTTGTGTGCTGTTCTCCTTGTGATGCTTATCATGCAGAAAGAGTGTAAGTGCTATACAGGACATTAGGGGACTGAGGTTCCTCACCCACCTGCAAAATCACATTCTAAACCAATTGGTACTACAGTATTTTAATGGGAGTATGCCTGTTCCCTAGATGGCCCAGGGTTTTCTCTTTCAGGAAGGCAAATGCAATAAAGTCAGTGTGTCTTTTAAAGTACACATGTAAAGTTCTTTTTTTTTGAGACAGGGTCATGCTCTGTCACCCAGTCTGGAGTGAAGTGGTATGATCATCGTTCATTGCAACCTTGAACTCCTGGACTCAAGCAATCCTCCTGCCTTGACTCCCAAAGTGCTGGGATTACAGACAGGAAGCACTGCACCCAGCCCATGTGAAGTACTAAACAACAAATTTCCAACCAAATATTTATACCACATCTAAAACATACTGATTATAACATTAACCTGTGCCCATCAGGAAGGTCTCACTACCCTATCTCCATCAAAAGTTTCTTACAAACAATGGGAAAGTATGTTTATGGCATAATGAATACAAAGGTATTAATGCCTGATAAAAACAGCCACTACATATACTACAGCAATTCAAGTCACACATTCTAGAAGTTTAACATTTAAATCATGAAGAGATATTAATGTTTTACTATTCTGGACAAACACAGAAACCTCTTTATAAATTTTCTTTTTTTATTATTATTATACTTTAAGTTCTAGGTTCCATGTGCACAACTTGCAGGTTTGTTACATATGTATACATGTGTCATGTTGGTTTGCTGCACCCATTAACTCATCATTTACATTAGGTATTTCTCCTAATGCTATCCCTCCCCCATGCCCCCACCCCATGACAGGCCCCAGTGTGTGATGTTCCCCGCCCTGTATCCAAGTGTTCTCATTGTTCACTTCCCACCTATGAGTGAGAACATGTGGTGTTTGGTTTTCTGTCCCCGTGACAGTTTGCTCAGAATGTTGGTTTCCAGCTTCATCTATGTCCCTACAAAGGACATGAACTCATCCTCATCCTTTTTTATGGCTGCATAGTATTCCATGGTGTATATGTGCTGCATTTTCTTAATCCATGCCTGTGAATGCTCTGACAACAAGAGTCCTGCAGTGGGGCTTGGGAGTGGGGAAGATGGGGTGAACTCACTCTGGCAATAGTGGCATGGCAGTGTGCACAGGCACATGCAGGCTGCCTGGGAAGGCAAGGCTATGTCCACCACACACACAATGCTGACAAAACAATGTGGTGAGGAAGAAATGGATACTTTTCTGGACACATAACCCAAGACTAAACCAGGAAGAAATTAAATATCTGAACAGACCAATAACAAACTCCAAACTTGAATCAGTAATAAACAGTCTACCATTCAAAAAAGCTCAGGAACATTTGGATTCACAGCCAAATTCTAACAGATGTACAAAGAAGAGCTGGTACTATTCCTGTTGAAAATATTTCAAAAAATTGAGGAGGAGGGACTCTTTCCTAACTCATTCTATGAGGCCAGCATCATCCTGATACCAAAACCTACAGGGACATAACAAAAAAGAAAATTTCAGGCCAATACCCTTAGTGAACATTGAGACAAAAATCCTCAAGAAAATACTGGCAAACCAAATCAAGCAGCACTTCAAAAAACTAATACACCATGATAAGTAGGCTTTATCTCTGGGATGTAAGGTTGGTTTAATATACACAGGATTCAACATATAAACAGAACTAAGGATAAAAACCACATGATTATCTCAATAAATGCAGAAAAGGCTTTTAATAAAATTCAACATCCCTTCATGTGAAAAACTCTCAACAAACTAGGTATTGAAAGAACATACCTCAAAATAATGAAAGCCATCTGTGACAAACCCACAGTCAACATCATAATGAATGGGCAAAAGCTGAAAGCATTCCTCTTGAAAACCAGCACAAGACAAGAATGCCCTCTCGAACCACTCCTATTCAAATACAGTATTGGAAGTCCTGGCCATAGCAATCAGGCAAGAAAAGGAAATAAAGGGCATCCAAATAGGAAGAGAGGAAGTCAAACTATCTCTGTTTACAAATGACATGATCCTATATCTAGAAAATCCCATTGTCTCAGCCCAAAACCTCCTTAGGCTGATAAACAACTTCAGCAAAGTCTCAAGATACAAAATTGTATACAAAAATTAGTAGCATCCTTATACACTAAACAGCACCCAACGCAAAAGTCAAGTCAGGAATACAATCCCATTCAAAATTGCCTAAAAATATAAAATACCTAGGAATACAGCTACCCAGGAAAGTGAAACATCTTTACAACAAGAATTACAAAACACTACTCAAAGAAATCAGAGATGACACAAACAAATGGGAAAATTATCCCACACTCATAGATAGGAAGAACCAATATCCTTAAAATGGCCATACTGACCAAAGCAGTTTACAGATTCAGTGCTATTTTTATCAAACTACAAATAACATTCTTCACATTTAAAAATTCATATGGAACTATTTAACTAACTCATATTTAACTAACTCATATTTAACTTAATTCATATGGAACTATTTAAAAATTCATATGGAAACAAAAAAGAGCCCAAATAGCCAATGCAGTCTTAAGCAAAAAGAATAAAGCAGGAAACATCATGCTACCTGACTTTAAACTATACTATAGGACTACAGTAACCAAAACAGCATGGTACTGGTACATAAACAGACATATAAAACCATGGAACAAATACATCACCCAGAAACAAGGCCACACACCTACAACCATCTGATCTTTTACAAAGCTGACAAAAACAAGCAATGGGGAAATGACTCCCTATTCAATAAATGGTGCTGGGATAACTGGCTAGCCATATCCAGAAGATTAAAACCGGACCCCTTCCTTAGACCATATTAAAAATCAACTCAAGATGGATTAAAGACTTAAACGTAAAACCCAAAACTATAATAACCCTGAGAGAAAACCTAGGCAATACCAGAGAGGACATAGGCACGGGCAAAGATTTCATGTTGAAGATGCCAAAGTAATCACAACAAAAACAAAATTTGACAAATGAGGTCTAATTAATGTAAAGAGCTTCTGCACAACAACGGAAATGATCAACAGAGTAAACAGACAACCTGCAGAGCAGGAGAAGATTTTTGCAAACTATGCCTCTGACAAAGGTCTAATATTCAGCCTCTACAAGGAACTGAAATTTATAAGAAAAAAAAAAACAAATAAGCCCATTAAAAAGTGGGCAAAGTTTATGAACAGACACTTTTCAAAAGAAGACATATATGCAGCCAACAATCATGTGAAAAACAGATGCTGGTGAGGTTTCAGAGAAAAGGAAATGCTTGTACACTGTTGATGGGAGGGTCAATTAGTTCAATCATTGTGGGAAGCAGTGTGGCAATTCCTCAAAGAACTAAAAACAGAAGTACCATTCAACCCAGCAATCCCATTACTTAGTATATACCCAAAGGAATATAAATTTTTCGGTCATAAAGACACATGCATGTGTATGTTCATTACAGTACTACTTGCAATAGCAAAGACATAGGACCCACTTAAATGCCCATTAGTGGAAGACTGGATAAAGAAAATGTGGTACATGTGCATCATGGAATACTATGCAGCCATAAAAACGAAAAATATAATGTTCTTTGCAGGAATGTGGATGGAGCTGGAGGCCAATATTCTTAGAAAACTAACACAGGAAGAGAAAAACAAATACCAAATATTTTCATTTATAAGTGGGAGTTAAATGATAAGAACACATGAACACAAAGAGGGGAAGAGGAGACATTGGGGCCTACCAGAGAGTAGAGTTTGGGAGGAGGGAGAGGAACAGAAAAAATAACTATTGGATACTAGGCTTAGTACTTGGGTGACGAAATATTCTGCACATCAAACCCCTGTGAAATGAGTTTACACATCAGCACATGTACCCCTGAACCTAAAATGAAAGTTTAAAAAAAGTGTCTTTTTGGGGAGAAGCACATAGGGCTTCTTTCTTTTCAAATGGATGATTCTTGTGCTCCTACAGTTATTTTTAAATACTGCATATTTCCTGTAATTTTTTGTGTGCAATTTTGATATATAATAAAACAAATATCAGAAGGAGATAAAGAATTTTTGTTTTAAATATTAAGTGTATTTAATAAAACATTTTGAGGCTTGACAAAATTTGGCAAAATTAATCTTCTTAAAGAAAAGAAAAAAAACAATGTAGAAGAATAATACTGAAAGGAAAGTGTTTTAAAGGAATACGGATATTTGTGAGGGAGTTCTGGGCATTGGTGAGGATAGTGTTGGATCACAAAAGATCAACTTGGTCTATTTCACAGTTTTTCTAAGATTTCTTTTCATTCAATATGAATTTTTTTTTTTCCTAACAGGACATTTAAACTGCAGAGGCAATTATTTCCATTTATTAACTGTAGTGATGTCATTCTTTTGGCAAGTGTATTTGGTAGCTTGAGTTAAATTTATAAACAACTAAAAGAAATTACTGAAAGATTATTAACACATATAGAAGGCTGATTACATACCAGGAAGTGGCTAAAGCAGTGCTTCTAAAACTGTACTATGCATTGAAATCACTTGGAGATTTTTGCCAAAATTCAGATTTTGATTCAGTGGATCTGATGTGGGGCCCTTAATTCTGTGTGTCTAATAGGTCCCAATGTGATGACTATGTGGCATGTCTGTGCACAGCATGTTAAATAACAAACATTCAAAGATGTTTCCCACATATGATATTTACTATTTACAATAGTATAATAATGTGGGATTTTCAGAAACAGAGAAATTCAAACAAAAAGCATTTCCACTGCCATGCTTAAGGTAGAAACATAGGCAATGAGCATACATTTTAAACAATTTTGGATAGCTAACTTACAATTCCAGAGGGCATACTCCAATTTTTGGTACAAGGATTATGTCTCCTTCTTGGCTAATGTTCTGTTTTTAATGCCAGAAGACAGTGCTCTTTTAGAAAAGAAATTGTAAGTTGATTCTCAATTAGTGCTTAGACTTTAATATTTTTTTGGATAATATTCAGTATCTGTTTTCTTTTTTAAAAGATGTGTTAAATTATTTTCAGAATCTCATGAAAAACATATGATGTGGGTTTATTAATTTTCATTTACTGTACAGAATATGCAACTTGAAAAATATCCTATTCTGCACACAGAATAGGATATTTATGTACTTTTATTATCAGATCTACTTTGAAGACATAAATGGTGTTTTTTGTCTCATCTTGTTTGATAGAATATAGATAATTCTGTTTAATCCAAGTTTTTATCTTTTGTCCTTGGGTAAGGTTGACAAATTGATTTTCACTTTTAGTTTATTTATTCTGTTAGAGAGATTTTTGAATCAGGAGTTTAAAGTCTCTGTCTGACAAGAAAAAGTCAACATCTGTTGAGTTGATTTAGTATTTATGTATTAGATTTTATGGCACCTTTCCTCTGAAGAACAGAGAGCGTTCTACACATAGTTCCTTCACTTTTCAAATACCTTTCACAAGAAACATTTATAAACATCCTAACATGAAAAGTGATAAAGAAGGAACCAAATGAGGAAATCAGGAAAGAAGAGCACCCCAGGGCAAATGATAATAGCTTCAAATAGGAGGTGTGCCTCATAAACTAAGTATTTATCATCAGAGGCCACTGGGGATGTGCTGCCAAAGCTCCCCCTCCCCCTGCAAATCTACTGCTAATCCATCTTGCCTGACTCCTGGATGTTTCTGTTCTTTGTGCCTACCTCTTCTGTACTGTCAGCTTCTAAATATTCTGCTGATTAGGGCAATCAAGATATTTAATCTGGTAATGAGACCTCAGGCCTACCAAATGGTCCTTGCTCTTGACTGCTACAGATAATGGAATTTCTTAGAAGGTGAGTTTGTGGCGGGCAGGAAAGTAACGTTTTAAAGCCTGTTGTGTACTACTTCATCTATGACCAAAAGTAGTCACTACTGCATCTGCCCATTTTTAATCATTTAATTAAATAACAAAATAATTTATTTTAATTATTTAAAATAAGGTAAGATTGAACTTATTAGAAAGTTTTATGAAGACTATATAGAAATAGGAAAGCATACATTACATGTTTTATATTTCATTTACAGTTAAAGTCACCGCAAAAATTTGAAATTAAAAAATATGTTTAAATTTTATCACATTGTATCTGTGATTTTATGTAATACCCAAATACTTTGTGTTTTTTGATATGAAAAAAGATAATCAGAATGTAATTTATTAAATATCCCTTTCTGGAATTCTCTCTTTGTTAGGATGTATGTACATTTGATTTGATAGCTGAAGCAAAGGACTATAACTCCTTTGAATTTTTTTGGAAATTTGTAGTCTAAAATATTGTTATAAAAAGGACAAAATTAATATTTTCTTGAAAATAAAATAGAACCTTGCTGAGTTAATAGGTACATAATTTTAAGTTTCATAATAAGATTTCATAAATCTATATTGAACTTCATAGATTTGATTAATGTTAACTCTGTATTCATTTTTTCTAAGAGAAAATAGAACTATAAAACACAAGACGGTGTTAGGCAAAAAGGAGGAAAATATGGAATGATGCTATATTTTAAAAGTGAAAGTTACTAAAGTAATTTAACATTCATTACTTTAAAAAATGTATATGATGCTTAGAGGCTTCCTAGAGCCCCAAACAATACCCACAAACCATTTACATGAAAATTGATTGCTGGACTCAGTAAGGAAAAGAATAGCAAAGAATTTGACTGTAAGATGGAAGATAAAATAAGGGTTGGGCTTTATTATTTTATTAATGAACAGAAATAAATATACATCTACTCTGACTTTCTAAGGTCATGACAATAGAAAGAAGTAGAGAAAAGGGACCTCTCTCCTCCCTCCCTCCCTCCCTTTTCCCTTCCCTTCCCTTCCCTTCCCTTCCCTTCCCTTCCCTTCCCTTCCCTTCCCTTCTTTTCCCCCTTTCCCCTTTTCCCCCTTTCCCCCTTTCCCTCTTTCCTTCTTTACTTTTTGAAATGAGTCTTGCTCTGTCGCCCAGGCTGGAGTGCAGTGCCATGATCACGCTCACCACAGCCTCAACCCCCTGGGCTCAGGTGGTTCTCCCTCCTCAGCCTCCTGAGTAGCTGGGACTACAGGCACACACCCAGCTAACTTTTGTATTTTCTGTAGAGTTGGGGTTTCACCATGTTGCCCTGGCTGGCCTGGAACTCCTGTGCTCAAGTGATCTTCCCGCCTTGGCCTCCCAAAGTGCTAGAATTACAGGTGTGAGCCACTGCACTGGCCATCTGTTCTTAGTTTTCTATGTTTGCTTCTGATGCAAATGTGTTTCCATGAAGCCACTATACAAATTATTTGTTCCCAGTATATTACACCTCTGTTGTATTGTTTGTGTCAAGGTGTATATCAAAATAGTGACTGAGATAAGCAGGTGTTAGAGATAAGCATGTTTCCAGGATAGAGTATTCATCTTCTTTCACGGTCTTTTTAAACTCAACATGGAAATAAGAACTTGGAATAATACTTATTGTTTCTAATCATCCTTGATGCAACATTTGGGTTTCAATACTTTTCCTGCGGATAACAATATATTTATTTGAGACAGATGTCTGATGAAACATTTCATAAGATGAATCTGCTTTCTCAATTGAAAAAGGCCACTCATACTAACTTAGTACTTTTCAATATATTTATTTATAACAATGTAGATGCTGGATTTTCACGTAGCTTAGTTAAATCATTTACTTATGCTTCAGGCTCTCCACTTGTTAATGGGGAATAACAAGACCCTCTTTTTGCATCTTGATACTGTTAATGATCCTATCTATCTATCTATCCATCTATTTATCTATAATTTGTTGAGATTTACTTGGAAGATACATTTTTGTCTAGAGTGTCTAAGAACTTTCTTCTTGGGCACTTCTTAGAATGTCTAAGGACTCTCTTCAAAGACTGAACACAGTCATGTAGTGTAAAATATATGAATAGGAAATTAGAGTTCAGATGGTATGAAGAAACCAAGTAATGGGATTTGAGACCAAAAAAGTTGGTTGGAACAGGTTGGGGCAGGAGGTGGAGTTTCAGTACCTGGATAAACAGTTGATAACGCACTTTGGAGTGTTTGATGACTGTTGAGCATTGAAATGACATGGCGAAGGCAGTGCTTTAAATAACTTTGATAAATGCATGGTAAATGCGTCCAACTAGTGCAGAACCCAGGCCAACTTGATAAGGACATGAAACAGAGTGATGCCATTTAGAATGAAAGAAAAGAATGCATGTGGCAGATATTTGAAAGAAAGTTTCTTACTATTTTTCTAATAGGAATTAGACACTGATAGGACATAAGGGAAAAAGATGTCTTTAAGGATTTTGCTTAAGGCATTAGGAAAATGAACAATAACAGGGAAGCCAAGACAGATGATGACTGGTTTTATAAAATGTTGAATTTGATTTTAGGCATGTTGATCAGAAGCCTTTAGGAGAGAGAAACTGACTAGATTTTGGATAAAATGAGTAGTGAGCTTTAATAAATAAAATGGAGTTTTTGAGAAGTAGTATAACATCAATTAAAATCCATCTGAGCGTATATAATTTGGCTGCATAGAACCAATTATTGCACATTTTTTCTCATAATAAAAGCAAAGTATGTTATTATAGAAAAATTTAAAAAATGAGAAAATATATAAACAATTAGGGAAAAATGCACCTTTAAAATAACCACCCATAGCAACTTTTAATATTTTAACAAATTTATGTCACCTTTTAACATGTAATTTCATAGTTAATTCTATATTTTATATTAAACTTAGTATCTTTCTTGATTTTACATAAACTTTTTTCATGACATTAAAAATCTTAAAACATCATACATTAATGACTACCTTTATTAAATTTCATAAAGAAAAGTTGTTAATGGTCAGCTTTGGAATCAGACAGCTTTGTTTAAATTTTTAAATCACTTTGAACTACTATGAACACTGCATAAAGTAGCAGGGTCTGTTGTGATAAATTTTATAGCTTTATCTGAAATTATGTATTCCTCTTTTGCCTTTATTTTCATTTCTCCCTTAAGGACTCTGTTCACATTTATTCATCAATATTTCTTTACATTTTTTCGCTTCCTTCTTTTATTTTTTCCTTCCCTCCTTCTTAGTAAGGACTACATTTCCAATTTGAGATTGGAAAGAGGAAAACTAAAAAAAAACCTAAAATAGGCTTGACTTCAGCATAAGCGTTACATCCTTTCCTCATTCCGAGCCTTTTTAGGCACGAAAAGACCACTGAATGTGTCACTCATACACACCTCTTCACTCAGTCCACTCAGCTAGCCACTGAGTTACTGGCTTGGTGCTCTAGCTGCAGATAGTCTTCAGTAGGATGCTGCCTCTTTCTTTTCTGGAAATGAGAACCAAATAATCTGGGGGCATAGGTGGTGACATCCCACTTTTGTTTGACTCTTGCTCAGAACCTTTTGGCCCAGCTCAAATCTACCATCTACCTCTTAATTCTGACCCTTCCCATGGGCTACCACATCCTATTAGAAATATCCCATCCCGCCTGGCGCGGTGGCTCACGCCTGTAATCCCAGCACTTTGGGAGGCTGAGGCAGGTGGATAACCTGAGGTCAGAAGTTCGAGACCAGCCTGACCAACATGGAGAAAGCCTGTCTGTACTAAAAATACAAAATTAGCTGGACATGGTGGCGCATGCCTGTAATCCCAGCTACTTGGGAGGCTGAGGTGGGAGAATTGCTTGAACCTGGTAAGTGGAGGTTGCGGTGAGCTGGGATCACGCCATTGCACTCCAGCCCGGGCAACAAGAGAGAAACTCTGTCAAAAAAAAAAAAAAAAAAAAGACAGAAAGAAAGGAAAAAAAGAAATATCACGTCCCATTTCTCTCCTAAATTGGGAAAACTTACAAGGAACTACAGTAAAGATCTATGAGAATAGTGCAAAAAGGGGAAAACCAAAGAGTTCTTGAAAATTCCTATTCTCTTAAAAGTAGCAAACCAAAATGCTGTTACCCTCTACATGGTCCATTTCCCACATGGTTTTGGAAGTACAAATTGGGTAAACACCAATTTTTAGCTATTACTATTTCTGCTATTTTAAAAATAATCTTGGAAGGGTAGTTTTTTGAAAGGAGAGAGAGTCATGACATCGCAGGAAATTAGAAAGATTTTAGTTTAGAGCAAAATTTGTGACTGTTGATTAAAATGATAGAAAATATGGAATATCATGCTGCCTCAGGTTATATGAGGGAGGGATAGGAGGATTATTTTTTGGCATTCCTGCCAACAATTTATGGAGTTAACTGACCAGTCACCTATTATATCCATAATTATGATGAGCTGCTGTGAAAATGTCACAGGGTGAACCACAGCTTGCTTTGATGTTGTCTCCATGCCCATAAAAACTGTCTCTGTCACTTCCAATCTTTCTAAACAAGTTCCTGCAATGTCTCTAGGGTTGGTATAATGTTAGCTTCAAAATACATATTTTATTTAAAGATGCATTCAGCACATTTTCCTCTACAGGAGTAAGCTTAAAACAAATTATTGTGTATCATATACAGCTTTGGCATTTACGGTAATTCTCAGGCAAAGCTCAGGGTATAAGTATGTACTTTGTAAAATAATAGGGCTTAAATTCATTAAGTAAATCTGTTGCTACCCTTGGTGCTTCTTTCTTATCTTCATTGAAGTTATTTCTTTTGTTTCACATGAAATAGAGAAAAACTCTAAAACTTGAGAAATTTTAAAGTAACATTGTAATATTTATATTTTTAATTGTAAACATAGGTTTTCGATTTGAGCTTTAATCTTGAATCTTATAATACATGACCATAACAAATTTGCGTGAGTTTCAATGTTTCTGCTTTCCTACTAAAATAAGTGTTTTTATTTTACTTCACATGCAGGGTTCTGTTAAGTTTTATGTTAGAAGCTAATGTTAGTGGACTTTAGTTAAAACATTAGGGAAGTCAGAATTAATGAAATAACTATGCTATGGAAACAATACCATCTTCTTTTCCAGATACGGTTCAGGGAAGCTAGGCAACTTATGTAGATCACATAGCTAATAATTTGCACCAACATTAACTTTTTCCAGAATTTTCAAACACTTTTAAAACTAGATAGCAGTATAATGAACACACATGTGCCATTGCCAAGCTTACAATAATTAACCCTTGACCAGTCTTATTTAATGAACACTTCTTCCTACTTTCCCTCTCCTTCTGTTTTATGTTGAAGCAAATATTCATATTACTTACATCTTGTATTAGTCCGTTTTCATACTGCGATGGAGAAATACCCAAGACTGGGTAATTTATAAAGAAAAAGTTTAATGGACTCACAGTTCCACATGGCTGGGGAGGCCTCACAATCATGGCAGAAGGTGAAGGAGGAGCAAAGACATGTCTTACATGGTGGCAGGCAAAAGAGAGCCTGTGCAGGGGAACTGCCCTTTATAAAACTTTCAGACCTCGTGAGACTTACTATCACAAGACCATCACAGGAAAAACCCGCCCTCATGATTCAGTTGCCTCCCAGCAGGTCCCTCCCACAACACCTGGGGATTATTGGAGCTACAATTAAAGATGAAATTTGGGCGAGGCCACAGCCAAACCATATCATGTCTAAAAGTAAAAAATTATTAGAGAAATTACCAGAAGTATGATGATTATACTTAAAAATTATAATTTATTAATATTAAATATAAGGGGCTCAAATTTCTCCCTTTTCAAATTATTTGTTTTAGTTAGGATTATGAGATTAATACATTGAAAGTGGTTGATGCACTTGGTATTTTTAACCTAAAGCTCCCCTCCCTTCTTTTTGTTTTTCTTATAATTCAATTGTTGAGCCAACAAGATTGTTTGATGGAATTTTCCAGTCTAATTGCCATCTTTTTGTAACACGGACTCAAAGTAAAGGAATGAAGAAAAATCTATCACACAAATGGAAAGCAAAAAAGAGGAGGAGTCATCATTTTTGTATCATAAAAAATAGAGTTTAAACTAACAACAGTATAAAAGGACAAAGAAGGGCATTACATAGTGATAAAGTGTTCGATACAACAAGCAGACTTAGTTATCCTAAACATATATGCACCTATTTATGCACTAAACATTGGAACACCTGGATTCATAAAACAAGTACTTCTAGACTTATAAAAAGGCTTAGACAGTCACACAATAATAGTGGGTACTTTGACACCCCACTAACAATGTTAGATAGATCATGAAGGCAGAAAAGTAACAAAAAAAATACTGGACTTAAATTTGACACTTGACCATTTGGACCTAATAGGCATCTACAGAAAACTGCACTCGTCAATCACAAAATGTACATTCTTCTGGTCTCCACAAGGAACATACTCCAAGATTAACCACATGCTGAATCATAAAGCAAGTCTCAATAAATTTTAAAAATTTGAAATCATACCACCAATACACTCAGACCACAGTGGAATGAAAATAAAAATAAATACCAAGAAAATCCCCCCAAACTACAAAATTATATAGAAATTAAACAACTTACTTCTAAATGACTTTTGGGTAGACAACAAAATTAAGTCATAAATAAAAGAATTCTTTGAAATTAATAAAAACAGAGACACAATATACCAAAATCTCTCAGGTGGAGCAAAAGTAGTGTAAGGAGGAAAGTTTATAGTGCCAAATACCTATCTCAAAAAGTTGAAAAGTTTTAAATTTGTGGTCTAGCATCACACCTGGAAGAACTACAAAAACAAGGACAATACAGTCCCAAAGCTAACAGAAGAAAAGAAATAACTAGAATCAGGCTGGAACTGCACAAAATTGAGACCCAAAAATCCATACAAAGGATCAATGAAAGAAAATGTTGGTTCTTTGAAAGGATAAAACAACATTCATAGACTGCTGCTAGATTAACAAAGAAAAAAAGAGAGAAGAGCCAAATAGGCACAATCAGAAATGACAAAGATGGCATTACAACTAATCCCACAAAGATACAAAAGATCCTCAGAGACTCTTATGAACACCTGTATGTACAAAAACTAGAAAATTTAGAAGAAATGGATAAATTCCTGCAAACTCCAAACCTCCTAAGGATGAACTGAAAGAAATTGAAATCCTGAACAGATCAATAATAACTTCTGAAATTGAATCAGTAATAAAAAAACCTATCAACCAAAAAAAAAAAAAAAAAAAAAAAGAGCTCTGTACCAGATAGATTCACAGCCAAATTCTGCCAGATGTACAAAGAGGCTGACATCATCCTGATAGCAAAACCTGATAAAGACACAATGAAAAAGGAAAACTACAGGTCAATATCTCTGATGAACACAGATGCAAAAATCCTCAGCAAAATACTAGCAAACTGAATCTAGCAGCATATCAAAAAGTTTATTCATCATCACCAATTAGGCTGTATTCCTTGCATGCAAGACTGGTTCAACATATGCAAATCAATAAATGTGATTCATCACATAAACCACATTATTCATAAACAGAATGAAAAACAAAAACCATATAATCATCCTTATAAAATCCTATATGTCTTCATGATAAAAATCCTCAAAAAACTAGGCATTGAAGCAATATCTCAAAGTAATAATAGCCATCTATGACTAACCCATAGCCAATATCATAATGAATGGGAAAAAGCTGGAAACATTCTCTTTAAAAACCATAACCAGACCAGGGTGCACACTCTCACCACTCCTATTCCTCATAGTACTGAAGTCCTAGTCCTAGGTAGAGCAATCAGACAAGAGAAAGAAATAAAAGGCATCCCAATAGGAAAAGAAGGAGTCAAATTATGTCTCTTAATTGACAATATGATTCTAACCTAAACTCCACCAAAAGGCTCCTAGATCTGATATATGCCTTCAGTAAAGTTTCAAGATACAAAATCAATGTACATATTAATGTATAAGTCAGTAGCATTTCTAAACATCAATAACATTCAAATTGAGAGCTAAATCAACAATGTAATCCCATTTATAATAGTCACAAAAATTATAATATCTAGGAATGCATCTAACCAACAAGGTAAAAGATCTCTATAAGGAGAACTACAAAACACTGCTGAAAGAAATCATAGATAATACAATCAAATGGAAAAATATATGCTAATGGGTTGGAAGAACAAATATCATTCAAATGTCCATGCTGTCCAAAGCAATCTACAGATTCAACATTATTTCTATCAAACTACCAATGTCATTTTTCACAGAATTAGGAAAAACTAAGTTAAAATTTACATGGAACCAAAAAAGAGCCTAAATAGCCAAAGAAATCCTAAGCAAAAGAAGAAAGCTGTAGGCATGACATTACCTAACTTCAAACTATACTACAAGGCTACAATTACCAAAACAGCATGGCGCTGATACAAAAACAGACACAGAGACTAATGGAACAGAATAGAGAACCCAGAAATAAAACCACACACCTACAACCAACTGATCTTTGACAAAGTCAACAAAAATAAGCAATGAGGAAAGGACTGACTATTCAACAAATAGTGCTGGGATACCTGGCTAACCATATGCAGAAGAAGGAAACTGGACCCCTAACTCTTACTATATACAAAAATTAACTCAACATGAATGAAGGAGTTAAATTAAGACCTCAAACTATAAAAATCTTAGAAAAAAACCTAGGAAATATTCTAGACATCAGCCTTGGGGAATTTGACCCAGCAATTCCATTACTGGGTATATACCCAAAGGATTATAAATCATGCTACTATAAAGACACATGCACACGTATGTTTATTGTGGCACTATTCACAATAGCAAAGACTTGGAACCAACCCAAATGTCCATCAATAATAGACTGGATAAAGAAAATGTGGCACATATACATCATGGAATACTATACAACCATAGAAAAGGATGAGTTCATGTCCTTTGCAGGAACGTGGATGAAGCTGGAAACCATCATTCTTAGCAAAATATCACAAGGACAGAAAACCAAACACCACATGTTTGCACTTTCAAGTGGGAGTTGAACAATGAGAACCCATGGACACAGGGAGGGGAGCATCACACACTGGGGCCTGTTGGGGGTTGGGGGGCTGGGGGAGGGATAGTGTTAGGAGAAATACCTAATGTAAATGACGAGTTGATGTGTGCAGCAAACCAACATGGCACATGTATACCTATATAACAAACCTGCATGTTGTGCACATGTGCCCTAGTAAAGTATAATAATAATAATAATGATAATAATAAAAGAATTTATGACTAAGTTCTCAAACGCAATTGCAACAAAACCAAAAATTGACAAGTGAGACCTAACTAAATGAAATACTTCTGCGCAACAAAAGAAACTATCAACAGAGTAACAAACAATCTACAGAGTGGGAGAAATTATTAGTAAGTTCTGCATTTGATGAAGGTCTAATATCCAGAATTAGGAATGTAAACAAATCAACAAGAAAATAATAAGTTCAGTAAAAAGTAAGCAATGGACATGAACAGACCCTTCTCAAAAGAAGATGACAAGTGGTCAATAAACATATGAAAAGAAGCTCACATCAGTAATCATTAGAGACATACAGACCAAAAACCACAGTGAGATACA
Organism: Homo sapiens; assembly: GCF_000001405.40. NCBI lineage: Eukaryota > Metazoa > Chordata > Mammalia > Primates > Hominidae > Homo > Homo sapiens. The sequence continues at coordinate 99,396,784 of NC_000005.10, forward strand.
ATCTCACACCAGTCAGACTGGCTATTAGAAAAAGTAAAAAATAACAGATGTTGGTGAGGATGAGGAGAAAATGGAATGCTTATATAGTATTGATGGGAACGTAAGTTAGTTCAGCTACTGTGGAAAGCAATTTGGAGATTTGTCAAAGAACTAAAAATAGAACTATTGGCCAGGCATGGTGGCCCACACTTGTAATTCCAGCACATTGGGTAGCCGAGGTGGATTTTTTGAGCTCAGGAGTTTGAGACCAGCCTGGGCAACATGGCAAAACCTTGTCTCTACAAAAAAAAAAATAGAAAAAAAAAAAAAAAAAAAAAACTAGCTGGGCATGTGATGTGCACCTATAGTCCCAGGTACCTGGTAGACTGAGGTGGGAGGATTGCTTCTGTGATCAGGTCACTGCACTCTAACTCGGGAACAGAGCGAGACCCTATCTCAAAAAAATCAAAAATAAAAATAGAACTACCATTTAATCCAGCAACCCCATTACTGTTTATACACCCAAATGAAAATAAATCACTGTATCAAAAAGACTCATGCACTAGTATGTTTATTGTAGAGCTATTAACAATAGCAAAGAAATGGAATCAAGCCAGTTGTCCATTATTGGAGGACTGGATTAAAAAAAAGGGTGGTACATATATACCATGGAATACTACACTGCCATGAGCACAATTGAAATCATGTCCTTTGCAGCAATATGAATGCAGCTAGAGGCCATTATCCTAAGTGAATTAACACAGTAACAGAAAACCAAATACCACATATTCTTACTTATAAGTGGGAGCTAAACAGTAGGTACACATAGATATAAAGATGGGGACAGTAGACAGTGGGGATCATAAGGCGGGAAGTGAAGGAGGAAAGAAAGGGTTGAAAAGCTATTTGGTACTATACTCCCTACGTGGGTGATGGGTTCGATCATACGCCAAACCTTAACACAACACAGTGTACCCTTGTAACAATCCTGCACATGTACCTCCTGAATCTAAAATAAAAATTGAAATTAAAAAAGAGAAAACAAAAAAAAATTGATAAAATCTGAACAATGTAAAAGTAATAATACACATAACAAAAAAATTGAGGTAAAAAGAGAGAAGGTAAAAATCCTAGCGTAATAACTTTCTAAATGGGGAGATAGACAAAACTGGAACAAGTAGCTTGAGATAAAAACATAATGAACAACACATGATAAATTAGAAAAATAAATAAAAAGTTTTAAAAATCAATGAATTAGCCTTCCATTAAAAAGCCAATATTAATAGAATGATAAAAAATAAAGTTTAGATGAGTTGTAGCATATTGTACAAACTTTCTCTTTTTTGGTTTCTCCACTTAGAAATATATACTGGAGCTGACTCACTTCACTATATGGCTAGTTATTAGTTTTTTTCTTTTACAAATATGTACACTTCATTGTATACTTATGAAATAGTTCACCAAGCTTCCCATTAATGGTTATTTTCAATATTTTGTGATAGTAAATTATAATGGTCTAATTCATTGCCATTTGCATATTTTTAAAATTTTTTTCCTTATATATTTAGGATAGATTTATAGAAGAGAGATTGCTGGGTCAAAATTAGAGCATTTATGATTTTGCTAGATATGGTGAAATTCTCTTCTACAAGAGCTGTATCATTTTGCATTCCCATTAGCAACATATAAAGGTCCCTTTTACCTCAACTTGATAAAAAATGTAACTTTTGGATTTTTACCAATTGCAGCCTATGATACTTCATCCAAATGAAAAGCAGATACTTTTCTATTATGCTATATTGCCTTCTCTTACACCTAATTTATATTTTTTCTAGTATCATAAATGTAATTCTAATAACTTCTTTATGCTACAAAAACAAATGTATGCTTCTCTATTTATTCCCAGATAGTACTGCATTCTATAATATAGTAAATATTTTCATTCTACTGCTTCTCTTTATGTATTTTAAAACTGTACCTGAATACGTTAATTAAATTATTCCAAAAGCATTCCCAGGATAATCTCTAATCAGCTCAATCTCTTTCTGTGGTGTGTAAGTAATACAGTTAAATCATGCTTATTTAGTTCCTGTGTAGATGATCTGTTCTGATCAGTATGACAGAGTTTTGATCACATTGCTTTTTGGGGTATTTCATTTTCTGCTAAATTTCCAAACTCTGTTTCAGACAAAGAAAGCTTAGATGAAAGTTTGATGACTGTATCACAGTGTTGAATTCCTCAGCTCCTTGTTGAGTCACTAATATAATTTCTGAACATGATATATACTGCCTTCATTTATTGTCCTGAATTTTATTTTTTGCCTAAAGCTAGTTATTTTTCCTTAAAGTGAAACATTGATTTGTTCTCCCTCAAGCTGAATCTCAGACTCACAACCACCTGCAGTGATATGCTTCTTGTGACTACAGAATCAGTCAGGAAAAAAAAGCTGTTTTGAACTGTGCATGCAACAATGACTGCTCTTCTCTTTTTCCATTCAAAGAAACCCCAGACTCCCTTCAATAGAAAGCAAACAAAAGCAAAGGTTCATGAAAATGTTTATGAAATGGGGTGTAGAAACCAAACACAGTGGCAGCCATGTAAACCTTTTAAATTTAAGTGGTTTCATTTTTAGAAGAAATAAAAATAAGCCTAGCTTTTCAAAACATCTCAGGTTCTGCCTGAGTTTTGTGAGAAGTTTTTGCAGATGAATATGTTTTTATATTATCAAGGGGTCAGTGAATGACTTTAATTTCTACTATTCAATATGTAACCAAGTATGACACATTAATTCCATGAACTTCAGTTCAACAAATACTGTTTCTACAGTGCATGTGGAACTATGTTAGGTGTTATGAAGAATACAGAGACAAATAAAACATGATTTCTGACTTCAAGAACATTCCCCAACCAGGTTAACTTATACCTCCTTTTTATCTTTCATAATCCTTTTAGTTTATGTCCTTTTACAATTAGGTCAAATTATTTTGGAGATTGTGTTGGGGTCATTAAGTACTTTTTGTGTATCTCTGAAATGGAGCTACAGTATTTTAACTATTTAAAACACATTTATTTTATTTTAAGTTTGTGCCCAAGCTATTTCTGTTTCTTCATTTAGTATATAGAGAGAAATGAAGACGCTCTTGCTAGCAGAACATCAAGAGAGAAAACCAGATTCTTAAATCTGTTTCTGGCTCAAAAGGTCAGGGTAATACCATGACTAGTGCCAGGTGCTGGAATGTCATTGAGGCAATGAGGCAGGCAATCAGGAAGAAAAGGACTCGGATGTAATCTGTGGCATCTCTCTCTCTCTAAGGTAAACAAAGAGCACCAGAAAATTTTCAGTCTTTGGGAAATATCGAGAAGAGAATATTATAACCAAACTCTATTGAAATATAAAAGTGATGTAATATGTAGAACATTTTTGTGTTTTCTTTATTAGTAAGCCAGTTTTTCTGCCTGCCATAAGACTTTTCTATGTGAGAGAAGCTGGAAAAAATGCAATGTAGATGAACTCTCAGGGAAGAAAAAAAAAGCAAAGTAAATATGTGCTTCTTCTGGCCACAGAGAATTATGTGGACAAAAGAGAGCAGAGGTAAGAGAAACACCTGGCTGAGATGTGTGAGTTGAAGCCTCACTCCTTTAAAATAAAACCCTGGCATGGAAAAGTATTTTAGGTAATAGAGGGGATCATTGAAGCCAGAGAGGGTTTGCCTTCTCTTCGATTTTAGGACTCTCAGAGGGACAACTGGTAGTACACCAAGGTCTGGAATCAACCCATGATATTCCTGTAAAGAGCAGAGGACTCTTTACAAAGTTCTGTAGCCAGACAGAGGGTACCTATTTAGTATTATTGAGTTACTTTTGGTTCTCTTTGGTTTTAAGACACCCAGAGTTTCCTACTTGTCCCATATCAGGGGCATTACAGCAGGTAGCTGAGAGTTTGTGGACATTCCATGGATGAGAGCCAAGATGATTCAGAGAGAGATATAGCAAAGGCTGTATGATAGATAGAATGTCTAAGTCTAAGAACCTGTGGTGGACAGGGAAGAGAATCAGAATATATATGTAATGCCAGCTAGAGTACTGAGGTGGGGCCCAGTCAGACAGAAAGTCTATCTGACCTCAGACCAAGTAGAGACAAAAGCCGCACATTATTCCAGGCAGTAGTTGAGAAGCAGGAAGCAACATATTCCACAAGAATGGGAATCTTGGTACCAATACCTCAAAACCCCAGCCAGCACAGACACAAGAATCAGTACAGGGCAAGGGAGTTTTCTTTGTTCTAATGCTGCAAAGTCAAGTAAACTACCTTTAGTAAACCTGGATGTCTTCTTGGAGTGGAACGCTTGTAAACTGAAGCATTATTTAGATAGATAAGAGACGAAGTTTTAAAAGAGAGTAAGGCATAAGATAAACATTTTACTATGATGGGAAAATTTAATATTTATGTTTACTATTCAGCAGCATATGAGCTACTCAGAAAGTAAGATCAGTTATAGACAAAAGGACATCTATGATCTGTTCACATTAAGTGCAATGTGAATAAATTTGTGACCCCCATTAGAATTTATCATAACTTTTTTTGTCATCAATTCTATATATACTAATGGGACATGAATGACTTGAGGGCGGAAAGAAGTCTTATTCTTCTTCAGTATCTGTTATGATTAGCATAATGCTTGACATATACAAAGTATTGAAACAATGTTTGTTAGATTGAAATGAATTTATTGCCACTAAGAACATTTGCTTTGAAATCAAGGTTTCCTTGTATTTGGACTCAATAACCCTAGGCTAAAATTTTAGTATTTTTCCAAAGGTTCTTAATTTTGAAGGATTGGTTCAAAGGCAATCTAAGCTGAGGTATAGGCATGAGCAAAGACAGAGAAAGAGGAAACATGGAGTGTGTTTGCAAAATGTGAGTTCTACAGTTTGACTTACTAGTGCTTGTCATTGTCAGGATTAAATTTCATTAATAATATTAACATCGACAATTTACTAAGCACTTTTACCATATACATGCTACCGTGCTTATAACTTAAACCCTCTATTCAATGGACAATCCTATGACAATGGTTAATACTTTTGTATAAATCAGGTTCCAATTAGGAGACAGAAATCACACAGTAAATTAGACAGGGAAAGTTAAATATAAGAATTACTAACTATAATATGGGGCTGGCTGGTGAGGGGAAAAGAAAATTCTAAAGAATTTAAATAGAGCAGATACAGGTAGAAGGGTTCTACCCCTATTTCTGGGTGCCCAGCACACAAGAAAGAGGCAAATCTGCACGAAGTTTCTCTCACAGGACTGAGATGCAGAACTTGCTGGAAATGGTGCAACTGTGTCTCACTTGATGGTGGATAAGTTGGCTGAAGTGTTGCAATGGCAGGACTCACTGGGGTATTTATCTTCCAGGGTAATGGCGGAAGTTGCTCATGGGGAAGTCCTGAGAATTAGAACTACAGTAGTTGCCCATTATCCATGGGGGGATATACTCCAAGACCCCCCAGTGGATGCCTGAAACCATGGATAGTGCTGAACCCCATATATTCTATGTTTGTTCCTATACACACATACTTATGATAAAGTTTAATTTATAAATTAGACACAGTAAGGTATTAACAATAACTAATAATAAAATAGAATAATTATCATGTTATGCTGTAATACGTGAATGTGTTCTCTCTCTCTCAGTCTATCTCACTGTACTCACCCTTCTTCTTGTAATGACATGAGATGATAAAATGCCTACATGATGATATAAAGTGAAGTAAATGACATAGGCATTGTGGTGTCGCCTTAGGCTCCTATTGACCTTCTGACAATACATCAGAAGGAGGATAATCTGCTTTGGGTGATTCTGGATCATTGAACTATAACAATGATGACGGTTGGATGTCAGGAGCCAACGATGTCGATGACTAGTGGGAAGCTAGTATATGTATACAGTTTGGATCCCAGGGGGAAGGAGCATGATTTCATCACCCTACTCAGAACAGCGTGCAATTTAAAACATGAATTATTTCTAGATTATTCTATTTAATATTTTCAGACTATGGTTGACCATGGGTATCTGGAAAAGCAGGTAACTGAAACCAGGAAAAATGAACCCCTGGGAAAGGGGGTGGGGACTAATTCATGGGCAAAGCTGTGGAAAGGGTTACAGGGGAATGCTGTTCACAAGGATGGATGGAGACATTGGCACCACTTGCAAAGCTGCTCTAGTGCCACAGGAAGCTGCCTGTGCAGATGTGCTGCAAGCTGCTGGCCATCAGGTACTACTTACTGGCTGCCACATGCTGCAGGAGTTGGGTACCATGGGATCCATGTGTGTTGCAGGAACCTGGGATAGAACCACATCAGAATGAGGAAGAGAAACCCCTATCACCTCCAGTGTCCCTCTAGCATCCTCTACTGATAAAGCTTAACATCACGCTAGCTGGCCGAGTCCAGGAGTAGGAGCCAACAAAGAAAGGTAAATTTGGAGCTAAAGGACAATAAGTTAATAACTGACAGAAGCATCTTGTTTGCATTTTGAAAATTAGGAAATTGAGTGTCAGAATGATTCTTTTGTGACATTCCTAGTCACACAAGGAATCAGAAAAGCTTGGAATTCAGATCCTTGTGTATTCAGTTTCCATTATATGTAGCTACTTTAGAAGATTCACCTGAAAACAGTGTATATGATAGATTGTAGTAGGAATGAGGCTGAAGTGGGAATATCTGGTAAGAAATCATTACAGTGGTCCAGGTAGAAGAAAATGGGGACTTCTAAGGTAGTTAATTACATGGACATTTCTTGCATGACCTCTGAATTTTCACTTCCAAGTTAAATTGGTTAGTATAAAAATTCACAGGCTCATGCCTGTGAAATTCAGTGACTCACGCCTGTAATCCCAGCGCTTTGGGAGGCTGAGGTGGGCAGATCACCTGAGTTCAGGAGCTCGATAACAGCTTGGCCAACATGGTGAAACCCCATCTCTACTAAAAAATACAAAAAAAATTAACCGGATGTGGTGGTGTGCGCCTGTAATCCCACCTACTCAGGAGGCTGAGGCAGAAGAATCACTTGAATCCGGGGGGTGGAGGTTGCAGTGAGCCGAGATCGTGCCCTTACACTCCAGCCTGGGCGACAATAGCAAAACTCCATCTCAAAAAAAAAAAAAAAAAAAAAAAAAAAAATCACGGTTGTTGTAGTGTAACATGGTGAAAATAATTGACAGAAACATGCCAATGGACTCATTTTAAAGATATATTTTTATAAGCATGTAAATAATATAACTTACTATGCTTAGGTAACTGTGCAATTGAAAAGACTTGAGAAAAATCTCCTTAAGAGAAATAAGCCCCCTTGCTTTCAAAGCCCCCAAGGCCTCCTGGTGCAGATGTATCATCTGATGGGGTGGAGGTCCCAAAAGGTTCTTCAACACCCATTGCTATTCCTTCCAGGGGAATTTTTAGATTCTTCTTACGTTTCCCAACTGCCTTGGAGTCTGTGGCTATGTGTACATTATTATTATTATTATTATTATTTTTTTTTTTTTTTGAGACAGAGGCTCACTCTCTCCGCCAGGCTGGAGTGCAATGACACAATCTTGGCTCACTGAAAGCTCCGTCTCCCAGATTCAAGAAATTCTCCTGCCTCAGCCTCCCAAGTAGCTGGGATTATAGGTGTGTGCTACCATGCCCGTCTAATTTTTGTACTTTTAGTAGAGACTGGGTTTCACCATGTTGGCCAGGCTGGTCTTGAACTCCTGACCTCAGGTAATCCACCCACTTCTACCTCCCAAAGTGCTGGGATTACAGGCGTGAGCCACCGCACTTGGCCACGTGCCTAACTTCTTACTAGATGCAAGTAACTGTGGACATTCCCAGCACATTCCTGAGTGCTTAATGGTCAGTTTTCTCAGGTATGTCAAACTCTTGCAGGCTCATGTTTTAGATCTGAGATATATCCAAACTGTATATTACCTTTCACGCATAATGTATTTGGACTTATAAAGAGGAATTATTTAAAATTCTAATTCTCACCTGGAGAAATGTGCAAGGATTTCTAGAATCTGTGTTATACCGGATTCACTACTGCATCTTGCCCACTTTTACTAAACTTGGTCTTAGAACTTAGTGTCAGGAACTGGTCTCTCTGGTTTATCTTTGTCCTTTCACCCTACTTTAGACTTGTGGACAATATAATGTAGTGCTTAAGAATGTGTTGACAGTCCCGAGAATGTGCCATATGGAACTTGAGAGATAGGGAGCATAATGGACCATGGGCCACAGATGCTGTGTTCAAGAACTCACGGCTTCACTTGCACTGACACACACCTCCCACTGGCTGCTCCTGGTTACTGACTAAGCACAGTAGGGAGCTAAAGGGAAGCCCTGTCCTGGGAGACAGGGAACTCCTCTAATGGCAACTTTGGCCTGAGGACTGTCTGATGGTCTTGCCAAACCTTCCTTAGATTGCCTTGCTGTCCAGATCACTTGCATCCACCCTTTTCTTTCCTTTTTAAAAATTCTGTAATGACTTATATAGTAGTTTGACATCTCTCCAATTCTTTTCTGACTTCTTTCTCATTTTACCATAGACAATTTCTGAAATAAAATACTTATGTTTTTTATTCTGTCTTGGTGTCTGCTTCTTGGATGTCTTGAATGAACCCAGCTTTGGTATTAGATAAATGGGTTTAAATATGGGTTCTTCAATATACTGGTTATGTACACAGCCTGTGTCTGCAGTTACTTGACACTCTGTGTTCTTTAGTTTAGTCACTCATAATATGAGAATAATAATGGTTATGTACTACACAAGGTTTTAAGGAATAAATACATTCATACATGAAATACAAGTCCAGCTATTATCAGCACTGAACATGATAAGAGAAAATCCCATATGAAATATTAAATGTGTTTTTTGATCTATCTCATTAAGTAACTCTTGAATTCACACTTGCAAATAAAGAGGAAGTCATTATATCTGAGAAACTTGAAGAGTAAAAGCAGAAATAGAGAACAATATTCATGCTTTCCATACATGGGTAGCACAGTAATTAACATAGCAACAATCTCCACATGCATAATTTAAATGGCCTCATTTTGCTATATCGATCAACCTGGCATGAATAACAAGAGACAATAAATTAGAGGAGTCAGTGGGATCTTACTGAAGGCTGGGATACCCTACATATAAGTGAGACGTGTGAAGGATAAGAGGAAATAGTAAGCAGACATCTACTGAACCATAGGCAGCTTCTTGTGTGTAATCACTTCGTAAGTGATATTTGCCAAACATATTTACAAAAACTTAATTGTTTTAATTAATATTTTCTCAATGAAATTTTAATATGGACATGTCTTGAAACAACTATCCCAGAATATTATAATGTGATCTCTTCCCATTTTACACTTCATGTTTTTGAAACATTTTTATAAGTTATTTTAAGTAATTTTCACAACCACGTGAGAGGTAACATGACAAATATTAACAATTTTATTTTATATCAAGGTAAACAGATGAATTATTTTATTTTAAATACATTTTATTATATTTTATATCAAGGTAAACAGATGAATTAACCAAAAATGAATTGTTTTATTTTAGATAAATTTTATTTTATTTTATATCAAGGTAAACAGATGAATTAACCAATAATGACCCTGTAAAGAGCATTTTGCTTATTCTCCCTTTATAGTTTAGTGAAATTCTAGATCTAATTGTTACCAGAAAAGGGGTCTTGTCCCAAGAGCCCTTGGGATCTCACGCAGCTAAAAATTCAGGGCGTGTTACAGAATACAGTAAATTTAGCATAGTTTATTAGAGACTATTACAGAGTAGGGTGACCTCAGAGAGCAAGATGAGAAACATCACTTCCAAAAATATAATGCTTACTTATATAGGATATTAGAGTTAAGAATAATGCGCTTTATTACAAAGGCTTGTGATCAGCCTGTGACAGGCTATTAGTATTTTTATTCTCTTGTGTAACTATTGATTTCAACAAGAATTTATGGTTATTCTATTATCTTAAAGCGAAACCTGTTCTTAAATTAAGAATTCTTGTCCGGGCGCATTGGCTCACGCCTGTAATCCCAGCACTCTGGGAAGCTGAGGCGGGTGGATCACAAGGTCAGGAGATGGAGACCATCCTGGCTAACACGGTGAAAACTCGTCTCTACTAAAAATATAAAAAAATAGCCAGGCGTGGTGGCGGGTGCCTGTAGTTCCAGCTACTCAGGAGGCTGAGGCAGGAGAATGGCGTGAACCTGGGAGGCAGAGTTTGTAATGAGCTGAGATCGTGCCACTGCACTCCAGCCTGGGCGACACAGCGAGACACCTCCTCAAAAAAAAAAAAAAAAAAAAAAAACCAAAAATAGAATTCTTTTTGTCCTAAGGGGTCTTATTTAGTTAGTTAGCATCATTAACTCATTCCCTCAACCATAAACATCTTGTCACCAAGAGTACCTAACTTCGTGGGAATATCCCCCAGCAAGTCTCACTTTATTGGGTCTCTATTCAAGATGGAGTCATTCTGGTATGGACGCCTCTGACATAATCAAGAAATGGATAAGTTTGGTCACATTCAGAACTTTTAGATCCATTAATATATTTTCAATACTACGTTAGTTGGGTCTTACATGAAACCTCTGAAACTTTCCAAGGTGTTATGGAACAGAAATTACTCCGGGCTTTGTCCAACTAACTGAACTCTGCAAGTGGAGTCATTTCTTGGCATTTGTTAAAAGATATTTGATGCAATGATAAACACTGTTTCCAAACAATCAGTCAGATCTTATTCAAGTAGCCTGTCTGAAATCTGTAGCTGTTTGGTCTCTTACACTGTTCTCATCAGGATTCTGTCCAAGGACAAGTAGTAAGTAAACCATATGGATTTTAATCTCCCCTGGTGAGTGAAAATGTGTTTGATTGCACAGCTGAGAGCTTCTACAGAGGAAGGCCAGCACACATGAAACAGATGCAAACCCCTGCTGGATCCTGCTATACATCTTCTTTGAAAATGGGTTGTGACAGGGCTTTTATTTATATAAGGTAGGCATACTTTCCTGGCTTCTGTGACTCTAAAGAAAAATTTCTGTAAGACTTTTGAAATAAACTTTGTCTTCTCCTTTTAATCTGTGGTAATTCATAGGAAAGCCTACTATTCCATTGGAAACATATTTAAGTTTTTTGAATTCCCCCTACTTATACATAGGTGAAATGAGGATAATGGCTTATGTTGTAGCAAAAGTTTAAAACCACTTGTCCTTTTTAAAAAATAAATTATAGTATAACAGTATGTTAAAATGGGACTTTCTGCCTCAGTTTAGGCTAATCTCCAAGAAAATGGGTGGTTAAGAGTTTCACATTTCAAAGTGAGGTTCTAGCTCACTTAATCAGAACTTGTAAAAAAGATGTTTAAGAAAAGTTTTTGTGAACCCTAGCAGAGCCATTATCTGGCCAAATAAATGTAGACACTGAAGAATGAGCTGAGAGTTCTAACATCCCCCCATGTTAGGGTGAGGGGAGGATGAGTCATATTTTCTCCTATTTCAAGTCAGGGGCAGGAGCCTCCTAGGACCACTCAAAAATCTTGATGGGTTTTGCTGTGGGTCAAAGATGAATATTTCCAGTGGACCAAATTGTAGGTTGACTGCTGAAGAAAGACATTCTTCAATCCAAGAGGGACTTTTCTCAAGATGTCCACTGGAACATAAAGGACGCCAAACAGATGTAGCAGTGGATCCAAGAGTAGTCAACGGGGTTAACCGAAAGTGCCATTTGGATGAGAGGAGTGCTGGTGAGGGGCCCCAGGACGTGAGGATGTGTAAAAAAGCCCATAAAGCACCTGACAAAAAAAACAGCTCTCATTAAAGATCATTCATGTTCTGTCTACATCAACACTGGATCAACTCGTATCTTTTTCCTCTCCATTTAATTCCCATCTAGGGGATGAGTTAGAACAAAAAGGGAAATGCCCACTATGTCTCCAATTTTCACTTCAGACTTTCAACCTTCAGATATCCTGAGGTAGACATACAAACAAATTCTTGTAATTCCAGCACTTTGGGAGGCCTAGGTGGGAGGATCACGAGGTCGGAGTTCAAGACCAGCCTGACCAACATGGTGAAACCCCGTCTCTACTAAAAATACAAAAATTAGCCAGGCATGGTGGTGCGTGCCTGTAATACCAGCCACTCAGGAGGCTGAGGGAGGAGAATCGCTTGAACCCGGGAGGCAGAGGATGCAGTGAGCCAAGATCGTGACACTGCACTCCAGGCTGGGCAACAGAGCGAGATTCTGTCTCAAGAAAAAAAAAAGACCAAAAAAAAATTCTACTTTTATTTATTTATTTAATTTTATTTATTTACTTTTTTGAGACAGGGTTTAACTCTGTCACCCAGGTCAGAATGCAGTGGCACAATCACAGCTCATTGCATCTTCAAACTCTTGGGTTTAAGTGATCCTCCCACCTCAGTCTCCTTAGTAGCTGGGACTACAGACACACTCTGCCAAACTCTGCTAGGATTTTAATTTATATTTTGCAGACACAGTGTCTTACTATGTTGCCCAGACTGGTCTTGAACTCCTGGCCCCAAACAGTCCTTCCACCTCGGCCTTCCAAAGTGCTGGGATTACAGTGTGAGCCAACACACGTGGCCTTAACTTTTCTTTTTAAAACAGTTTTATTGAGGTGACAGGTTTATTTATACTTTCCTACATATGTTAACAGTTTTATTTACTATCATAAAATTTAACTATTTTAAGTAAATATTTCAGTTATTTTTAGGAGGCTCATAGACTTACACAACCATAACTAAACATTTAAAACATTTCCACCAGCTCAAAAATTTTTTTTTGTTTCTTTCTGTCAACCTCAGCCCTAAGGCAACCACTCAATGCCCAGCCTTAAGGCAAACACTCATGTGTTTTCAGTCTCTATGCATGGGCCTTTTCTAGAAACTTCATATCAATTGAGTGATACAATATGTAATCTTTTATGTCTGGCTTATTTCATTAGCATATCTTTGAAGTTCTTCCACATTGTAACATGTATCACTACTAACTTGTATCACTGTGTCCTGAATTGGTGGGTTCTTGTCTCCCTGACTTCAAGAATGAAGCCAGGGACCCTGGTGGTGAGTGTGAGTGTTACAATTCTTAAAGATGGTGTGTCCGGAGTTTGTTCCTTCAGATGTTCAGATGTGTCCGGAGTTTCTTCCTTCTGGTGGGTTCGTGGTCTCCCTGGCTTTAGGAGTGAAGCTGCAGACCTTCGCGGTGAGTGTTACAGCTCTTAAAGGTGGCGCATCGGGAGTTGCTCCTTCCTTCTGGTGGGTTCGTGGTTTCTCTGGCTTCAGGAGTGAAGCTGCAGACCTTCTCGGTGCTACAGCTCATAAAGGCAGCCCAGACCCAAAGTGTAAACAGCAGAAAGATTTATTGCAAAGAGCGAAAAGAACAAAGCTTCCACAGCATGGTGGCCTGCTTTTATTCCGTTATCTGGCCCCACCCACATCCTGCTTATTGGTCCATTTTACAGAGAGCTGATTGGTCTATTTTACAGAGAGCTGATTGGTCCGTTTTGGCAGGGTGCTGCTGGGTGCCGTTACAAACCTTTAGCTAGACACCGAGTGCTGATTGGTGCTTACAGTCCTTTAGCCAGACAGAAAGGTTCTCCAAGTCCCCACTCCACCCAGAAGCCCAGCCGGTTTCACGTCTCACCGGGGCTCTGCGGCACCCAGCCCCGGCGCTCAGGCAGCCCAGAGGGAGCTAGTCCCTGATCAAGTCCAGCAGGCGCCGGCTGGCCGAGCCGAGTGCGGGTCCCACTGAGCCTGCGCCAACCCAGAACCCGCGCCTGCCCGCGAACGCGGCGCGCAGTTCGGGCTCCCGCCAGCACCTCTCCCTTCACACCTTCCGGTGAGCAGAGGGAGCTGGCTCCGGCATCGGCCAGCCCCAGAGAGGGGCCCTCATAGCGCAGCGGCAGGCTGAAGGGCTCCTGGCGTGTGGCCAGAGCGGAGGCCCAGGAGGCGCGGAAAGCGAGCCAGGGCTGCTAGCACGTTTTCACCTCTCATCACTACTATCATGATCACTACTATCATATTTGTGAGTATTATTTCATACTGTGTATATATCTCAATTTGTTATTCTAGTCACCAGTTAGTGGACACTTAGAATGGTTATAATTTTGGGCTATCATGAATACTGTTTGCTATGAACACTCCATGTATAAGTCTTTGTGTGAACATATGGGTCATGTGTCTTGGGTAGATACCTAGAAGTGGAATTGGTGGATCATATGGTAAGCACTGTTTTCCAAGGTGATTATACCAGTTTACATTCTCATCAGCATTGTATAAGTGTTCTAGTTGCTTCACATCCTGGCCAACTTGATATTGTCAGTTGTTTTGATTGTAGCCATTCTAGTCGGTGGTAATGGTATCGCATTGTGGATTTAACCTACATTTCCCTAAGGGCGAATGGTGTTGAACATCTTATTTTTTTAAATTTTATTTTTATCAACATAAAAGAAGGAACTTTGTTTTGTTTTTATTAAGTTGTTTGCTTTACTCTAAGTTCTTTGCATTCTCATATACATTTTAGAATTAGCTTGTTAATTTCTGTAAAAAAGCCTAAAAGGATTTATTTTGTTTTGTTTTGTTTTTTTGAGACAGAGTCTCACTTTGTCACCCAGGCTGGAGTGCAGTGGCACAAATATTGCTTACTGCAGCCTTGACCTTACCAGCTCAAGCAATCCTCCTCCCTCAGCCTCCCGAGTAGCTGTAACTACAGGCATGCGCCACCATGTCCAGCTAATTTTTGTATTCTTTGTGTAGACGGGGTTTTCCCTTGTTTCCTGGGCTGGTACTGAACTCCTGAGCTCAAGTGATCCGCCCATCTTGGCCTCCTATAGTGCTGGGATTACAGACCTGAGCCACTGCGTCTGGCCAGCCTGATTGGATTTTAATAGGAGTTACATTGAATCTATAGATCAATTTGGAAATAATTGCCACAAAATTTTAAATTGAAGGAAGTTTGGATTTTTAAAAATTGTTACACAAGAATGAACATTTAATTAATAAACTGAAAGTGTTCTTGTATACAGATGTGACTAGAGAACATTCAGTCTCTGAGTCACCAAAGTAATGGGATTGCCATTGACTTTCATTCAGGTGCAGGACAGAGCCTGCCTGCCCCTCAAGGTGGATTTTAAGAGGCCAGTCATGAAGAAAGATAATGTTGTGGACTGTTTGTACCTATTTGACCTATTCTTTTAGCTTATTAATTGAAGTTTTAGTCAAAGTCATTTGATATAATCAGAAATTCTGCCTTTTACTTTTTCTCAATTTTATTAAAGCTTTTGACTAATATACCTGTAAAATTATAGAAATTGTAGTAACATAAACACCTCATGTTTGTTTGTATTTTCATCAAACCATTCTTTCATTTATGTGTTTATTTTTCAATTGAACAATATGCAGAGAACAAAAACCACATCTAATCCCCCACGTTCCCTGCCAAATCTTTGTAATACCTTAAGATTTGTAAAAATCAATCAATCTTTTATAGCCCTTAAGGAATTGCAAATATATATATATTTTAAAGCCAAAGAGAAGGGAGTATAAAGGTTCTTTTGTCTACCATTTTATATTCTTCGGCATGCTCTCTGGATCCTTCACTTCCTTCAGCTGTTTTTATGTAGTATACACAAAGAAAATGTTACTTTCAGGGAAAATTGCATGCATTATTTACCTACGGGTTATTAAAAAATGCAAGGAAAACATTATTTGACCTGATAAACTCTCTTAGTGATGACATAAATGATCTAAGAATCTAAGTCTCTGAGTAAAATAGAATGGAGAGACATTGAAAAAAAACAACAATAAGACAAAAAAAAAATCCCCAAACAGGGCTAAAGACACACAGTCTGATCTCCCTGGGGAAATGAGGACTCAGTCACAGCAACTATTGATAACATAATGAGGGACATTGCTCCTATTTTTATCTTTTCCCATGATTAGTTAAATAAGGAAATTAAATAAGACAAAGAATGAATACTTGAGAAAGAAACAAACATCACATAATTACAGCCATTTGTCCACTTCCTGACTTTATTGCTGAATTTTCCTTTAACCTTAAAGATGCCCATATTTTATTTGGTCAACCTGGTGCAGAAGGAAGTTAATGAAGACCTAACAATTCAGAGAAGAATAGTGTTTCTTTGAAATCACTTTACTGATGACCAGGACTAGCAGATGACCGTTTTGTTCTTTTTCCTTTTGAAAGGTACCAGACCCAATAGCTGATAGCAGTAAGCACTTTAGATGATTAACTTGGTCTGAATCTTGGCTTTATTTCTTCTAACAGAAGACACTTTGGTGTATATAAGAATCACTTAAGATTCTTGTTAAAAATGCAGTTTCCTGGGCCCCATTTTCAGAAATTCTGATTTAGTGTCTCCTGGCAACACCCAGGATAATCTGCATTTTAATAAGGATCATAGGTGTCTTTATTGCTAAAGCACTGGGCCACACTTTGAGAAAACTGCTCTGATGAGTGTGTTTTCTGACACAATTTTGCAACGGAATCATCTCTCCCAAAGGACTGCTTTGGCTGTGCATTTATAGCCAGTTGAAGGTTTGATAAGAACAGCTGAGGAGTTGTGAATAGTGCTTAATTGTAGGAAAGCTAATTAGCCTCTCAAAGGACAGAGGTAATAAATTATGGATTGTAACTTATTTTAATAGTCACAGCTTAAGTGGACGGCACAATGAGGCATAAGCAGTTTAACTTGATTAACACACTTCAGAACTCATTAAATCTATCATTTTTCTGTTCCATCCCATTCCTTCCTCCTTGATCTTTATTTTCTCTTTTCATATATCTTTTTTTCTGTTTTCTCTTTCAATAGATGATCTCAATCTATATGTCTCCTCCTCATGATTTCTCTCATTTTATGTTGAACCTCCTATATCTTTTTATTTCTTTCACTTTCCATCAAGCTGTTATTTTTATACTCCACTCATATTTATTTCTTTTTCTTATTTTTTTTCCCTCTCTCCAATGGATATCTTTCTATCTTATATGCAGACCGTTCAATACAACCACTTCTTCCTGATAGCATCCCAACTGAGTTATACTATTCAGAACGTTATTGATGATCAAATGAGATAATTTATAGGAAAGTGCTTTGAAAATAAGTAAAGATTTATTAAGCTAACACATAAAGATTTATTTCAACTTTAAAACTTAGCAAGAATCGTTACAGGAATCTATTTCAAGATTGTTTTCACAAACAGAGGGAAGAAGACACAAGTGACAAGGACACAACACAGTCAGGCTCTCCATGTTACTCCTGGAGGAAACTGACGTTTTAGAGTCAGTACACTCACATGGAGGAAGGAAGCAGCCCAATAGGATAGGTCAGAGCTGAGGTCCCTGCTCTTCTATCATTGGGAGGGGTGGATGGAAGAACACATCCACACTGAAGGGAAATTAAGAACATTTAGGAAATTTTGATCTTAAAAGAAACTAAGAAAATTCTGCCCAAAGATTTCAAGAAAATTCCTAATCTTACATTTTTACACACTACTCTGTTCTATTTATTGCAACAACATTGGTTTACAGAAGTCTGACCATAGCCTACTTATAGATTTTTCTATTTTGCATTATTTGCTTACTCTAAATATAATATGTGAGATGAAAGCAAGATCAGTGCTTAATTATTTTTTCTATTTACTAATTTTCATAACAATGAGTGGGTATTCTAGTAATTTCCAAAGATAATTCTTAAGGTTTTTTTTTTAATTTTTAAGTTCAGGGGCACATGTGCAGTTTTGTTACATAGGCAAAGTTGTGTCATGGGGGTTTATTGTACAGATTATTTCATTACCCAGGTATTAAGCCTAGTACCCATTAGTTATTTTTCCTGATCCTCTCCCTCCTCCCACCCTCCACCCTCTAATAGGGCCCAGTGTATGGTTTTTCCCCTCTGTGTGTCCCTGTGTTCTCATCATTTAGCTCCCACTTATAAGTGAGAACATGTGGTATTTGGTTTTCTGTTCCTGTGTTAGTTTACTAAAGATAATGGTCTCCTGCTCCATCCATGTCCCTGCAAAGGATATGATCTTGTTCTTTTTTATGGCTGCAAAGTGATAATATTCCATGACATATATGTACCACATTTTCTTTATCCAGTCTATGATTCATGGACATTTAGGTTGATTCCATGTCTTTGCTATTGTGAATAGTGTTGCAGTGATCATACGTGTACATGTGTCTTTACAATAGAATGATTTATATTCCTTGGGGTGTATATCCAGTAATGGGATTGCTAGGTTGAATAGTATTTCTGTCTTTAGGTCTTTGAAGAATCGCCACATTGTCTTCCACAATGGTTGAACTAGTTTACGTTCCCACCAGCAGTAGATAAGCATTCCTCTTTCTCTACAACCTCACCATCATCTATTATTTTTGGACGTTTTCTTTTAATTTGTCATTATATACTCAGTAAACATTATTTGACAATTCTGTATGTTGCAGTTGTTATTTGTTATTATTGTTATTCAAACAGTTCTATCTTTGAAAAGTGGGAGCTTGTCTTCAGGTTGGCACTATGTCTTTTGAACACAGTGGTCTTTGTTTTCTGTCAAAATAGGATATCTCAGATATCTCTTATACATCACTTGATCCAGCCTGAAGTCAGCTAAGTCCCCAAGGAGTCTTGGTTTCTTTCAGTAAGGAAAGTATAATTAGAATTCCACAATTTGGAAGTTGCCTGGTGTCTTACTCTCTTGATTAGAAGACAAAAGAACATTGAGAGGAAATGGCAGCATGATCAGAGGACAGTAGTTTGTGTAAATACTTTAGGAAAACAAGAATGCTGGTGATTTTAATAATTAAAATATATCTTTGCAAGCTATCTTTCATTTTTATTCTAGCATAACTTGCTTCCTTATGTTTTGGTTTAACATTTTTTTCTGATTTTGTAGATACATATTTATTATCCTTTTTTTTGTTTTGTGTCTCCTCGGTATTAACTTTATTAACTGTGAAAAACAAAATTGCTACTATGAATGACTTGAGCAAACAGTCTCAACCAATGTTTTTCTCTTAGCTGGTTTATTAGTGTGCTGAGTAATGTGTGAATATATATTTAGGCTTAATATCTGGTTCATTAATTATCTAGTGCTATTTTCCCCCCTTCCAAATTGTAAAGCTCCTATTAATGAAACTGATGGGTAGCAAAATAACAGCTAATGAATCCTCTAATTTTGTATTAGTGTGTTACACAGCTAAGAGGCATATAGAGAATTACAGTGTTTTAGAGGTATGCAATCTGGAAAAAATTGCTATTTTCTATCTTACAGATGAATAAATAGAGACTAAAAAAGATTAGATAATTTCCTCGATGACACATATAAGGAAATATTGTTAAAAATATGACTTTCATCATTTTACCCTTGTATACCAATGCTCATTTTGTTTAGGGGAAATTAGGTGAATATTCAACTTTGTTTTAAATATGCTTAAGTGGAAGGAAAATAAACAACCAAGTATTTATTTGAAATATGTATGTAATTACATGTACGTGAGAAAAATATAGGCATTAAATTAATTATATGGCATTCTCATCATGAAATTCCTTTTAAAGGAATGTTTAAGAAAGGACAATATGGTTGAGAAAATGTTTATGTAATAATAGAAAATGTATCCATGCTCAAATGATAGTGTATAAGTCAGTTTCTCACTTTTTTGAAGGTTTATTTTAAATTACATATCTTATATGAAGGTGATTTATAGATTTTCTTATACTGCAATTTCGTTTGGTGGACAAACCCCAAATTAGGAAAGGAAACAATGCATTTAAATGATATAATGTTTTAAAATAAGTTTAGATGTATCTGTTTTTAAGGACACAGATTCCGCATTTCTATGAGCAGAAAGCAGACAGAGCACATTGAAATGGCTTGTAATTAACTTTCACAATGACTGTTTAGCTACCAGTAGCAGTTTCTCAGTTTTTTTTTTTTTTGAGACAGAGTCTTGCTTTGTCGCCCAGGCTAGAGTGCAGTATCGCAATCTGGGCTCACCACAACCTCCACCTCCTGGGTTCAAGCAATTCTCCTGTCTCAGCCTCCTGAGTAGCTGGGACTACAGGTACGCACCACCATGCCCAGCTAATTTTTGTATTTTTAGTAGAGACAGGGTTTCACCATGCTGGCCAGGCTGGTTTCAAACTCCTGACCTTGTGATCCGCCTGCCTCGGGCTCCCAACCTCCCAAAGTGCTGTGATGACAGGAGTGAGCCACTGCACTGGAGAAGTTTCTCCAGTTTTTTTCTTTTTTTTTTTTTTTTTTGAGACAGGGTCTCACTGTGTCGTCAAGGCTGGAGTACAGTGGCGTGATCTCAGCTCACTGCAACCTCCACCTCCCGGATTCAAGCAATTCTTCTGCCTCAGCCTTTTGAGTAGCTGGGACTACAGGCCTGTGCCACCATGCCCGGCTACTTTTTGTATGTTTAGTGGAGACGGGATTTCATCTTATTGGCCAGGCTGGTCTGGAACTCCTGACCTCATTATCCGCCTGCCTCAACCTCCCAAAGTGCTGGGATTACAGGCATGAGCCGCTGCACCTGGCCCTCTCCAGTTTTTAAGAACATGCTTCTGTCTTGAATATTTGCCTAGACTTGTCTTTGTTATCTATTTATTTATAGATAGTACCATGACAACCCTTACATTCTGTGAAATAAATATTTATTAAGTAAAACATACACATCACTGTGCCAGACAATGTAGGAGATACTGTGGTAACAGAGTTCCTGACCTACAGGACCTGTAAGAATAAAAGCACAACCAAAATATGAAATGTGTAATACAGTAAAAGTGGCCTTACATCCTTCGCATCAAGAAGTGAAATTCATTCTTCAGTCCTTAAATGAAAACTGGCTCTCTCTATTAAATGAAAACTGGCTCTCTCTATTTCTTTTATCAATGGAATGAGGTAGTCTAGCCAATAGGTGAATGGAAGAACAGGTTGAAAAAAAAAGAAACAGGGCACACCAGCCAGCAGCTGGTGCAAGCTGCCCGACATGAATAAGACCGTCTGGAGCCTTCCTGCTGAGCTGAGCTCCCAGCTGAATGCAGACACATACATGACCATAGGCAAACTCAGCAGAGAAACCTCCTAGCCAATCCTCAAAATACATGAAAAATAATATTGGCTATTTGTTATCCACTAAGGACTTGGGGGTGGTCAACATAAAGTGGTATTTAACCAGAAACAAAACACAATGTTCTATAAAAGAGCAAAAAATATATTTCATATAAGGAACGACAACATTTAGTTCAGGAGAAATGTGAAAATGTTCGTGAAGAATGTGGTGTTTGAAATTTATACCAAACATTGTGTAGGAAACATGCATTGCGGACATGTTGGAGAAGTGCTTTAAAGCCAGGATGAGGCATTCATATCCATCCCAGAAGTCAATGAGACTTCTAACCTTGTTTGTTTAGGGAAGTGGCATAAACCCACTGCAATGCTGGTAACCAGGAGAAGAATGAGAACGGTGAGGCACCTCGTCAACGATTGTTGAATGAATGACCAGAATTTTTCTAATCTATAAGATGTAATAATCCAGCGAAATCTGACTTAATGTCAGTTTACTCCACTGTGAGAAAGTGTCAGAAAATGTCAGGAAATGTCACTTCATCAAAGGGCCTGAGAACAGGAGTGAATAAAATGTCTTAATGTTAAGTAAAATGTTGAATATATTGGCATGCTGCAAATCTGCATGGATATGTTTTGAATTGATAAATAAAATGACCTTTCTGGCAAAGTGTGCTATTATTTTATGCACAGTCACAGAGTACGTTATGACACACAGTGTACATGTGGAAAACATTTGCCCTTCTTGGTCATTTGGATTAATTTGTACCATAAATGCATCTTTTACCACCCTGTTCTCAGATTCATGGGTTTGATGTATGGCACTGTTTAGGTCTTTATTTCTCCTTTTAACTTTCCTGGAGGGAGTCTTCCAGTGTGACCACAGTGATTGATGTCCACTCTCACAGTGACTAACCTCAGAGGGTGTGTACATGGACAGCTTTATGGCTCATGGAACTCAGGGAACACTTCCAACCACTTTTATTTTGTTTCCTCTTGTTTTTTTTGCTGTCTCTCAAAGAGAGAAGTTTGAGCTTACTTTCTTAATTTATTTAACATCATCTCGTAGAGAACCACTCCTGTGTCTTGATTTCAGATACTACATCCTTGCCTGAGGGTATCACTATGCCAATCAGTAGACCCTTTGCATGAGCTCATTTGTGATCGTATCTATTATTAGTTGTGTCTTCTGGCTCTAGCTTTGGGTCGTTGTCTTAATTTCTTCAGCACAGAGTGTTGTATATTGGAGACGCTCAATAGATCTTTGTTTTTGTTGATAATATGCTGTTATATTGATGTGTTAATTCATTATATTGTCTCTATTGTAATTTGCTGCACTTTAGCATGTACTATATGGATTTGTTGGCTTTGCTGAATTGTCAGTGGTGATTTTTACCATTTATATTATTCATTTTCTTGTGCTTGAATCTGTCTTCTAAGCTGCTGTAGATAAAACTGCCATTCTTATTGTCATATTCCCTACTAATTAAAGATATAATAGGTGCTTCTCCAGTCATTAGGCTGACAAATTTGACACATCAGTTATGAGTAACCTGGAACAAGTAGCAAAAGCTTTTGACTTGAGCTACATCCTAGCAGTGTAACTGCTAAAATCCTCCCTCCTTTTTCCTTTCCTTTCCTTTCCTTCCCTTTTCCCTTCCTTTCCTTTCCTTCCTTTTTCCTTTTCCTTTTCCCCTTCCTCCCTCCCTCCCTTCCTTCCTTCCTTCCTTCCTTCCTTCCTTCCTTCCTTCCTTCCTTCCTTCTTTCCTTACTGTCCTACTTCCCTTTCCCTCCTTAAAATAATGTTTGTTTTCTGACGGTGTAAGTTATATAGTTCCATCAAAAGAAATTTTGGGAATTATGGGAAAAAACATCTACACCATTTTTCTTCACCAAGGGACCATCAAACTCTGTTTTCTAAAGTTTCTCTGTGCCTGAAATCAGATATCAATAAATACTCTCTGTTGTACAGTTAATTTTGCCCAAAAGTTATTTCTACCCTGTAAAGATAATAAATAATACTAGTACAAATCTTTGCTGTACTCTTATTGTGGATAATCAAATTTAACATTTTCATTGATGCTGAATAATTGCATCATCACCACCTCTTTCTAAGGTCTCCTCACAATGCAGAGAAGCCAGAGCCTTTGTGTTTTAAGAATCCCCCTCCCTGTATGGTTTCAGACTGACCTATGCCAAGAAGTAGCATTTCTGCTTGATTAGGAAGGCAGAAGACTGCAAGGCCATTTTTTTCTGAAGGCAATTTCCATCATATGCTGTGCAGATGAGAGATTCACATTGGCTTTCCAGCCAGCTACTGAAAACCATTGCTTTTACTGATGCAGACAGAGAAGATCAATGGGAACTTTCATATACTCATATATTTCAAAGGCATTGCAGCAACTTCCCTATAAGCTCATGAGAAACCCCATACCAGTGCTTCGGGCTGTGATCATGGGCATGGGGCTTCCCTGACGACCCTCAACTCTTGTTCACTCCCCAACTCATCACTTACTTCCCAACTCTTCTAATGGTTGAATTCTTTACTTTTTCATATTAAACCCTTCATACTTAGAACACATTAAGTGGCTCTGTTTTCCTAGCCAAATATGTATAAAAATTATTTAAGTTTGGTGTTGATAGTCTTATTCTTCAGTTAAAGAAACAAGTTCAGTGGGTCATGTAACTTGAACAAGCACACAGAGCTAGGAGGTGAAGGAGGGAAGTTAGTACAGGAATCTGTCTTAGGGTTTATCCAAATTACTGTTCTGCTGTTGCTTCTGCCATCTTAAAATGCTTCCTGTGCTCACTTCCAGCAATGCTGCCTCATCTATCACCTAGTGTCCTGTAGCTTTAGCCTCTCCCAAGACTCAAGCCAGCTATCTCTACTCTGAAATATGCGTCTCATTTGGCTCTCAGGGACCTGCCCAGGGTTCTGAATTTGTGGGGTTAGGGACATGTCTACTGTATTCCAAAGATGAAGAAACATCTTTCTCCTTTTCTGTCCCCTAAAGGTTTTACAAAATTGTGAAGCCTCTCCGTGTCTATTTGTATTCTGGGGTATCTATCTTTCATCTCAAACCTTATGATTGATGGTGGGGAGCATGGTGTTTAGCTTTATTATTTCCATCAGCCAGATTATTTTCTGTCTGAAAAATTCCTTGCCTTTGCATTGAGTATGTAGATTTTATCCTTATTTCTTTTTGTGTTTTTTTTTCCTTTACCCTTATTTCTTTTTGTGTTTTTTTCCCTTTAAAGAATCAAAATCTGAAATCAGAAACAAATGTGTTTTTAATTTTAGTGTCTCTTATGACTTCCATGTTCTTCCTATCTCTTTACTAAAACTCAATAATCTTCTGAATTGATGAGATATTTACAGAGATTTTTCTCATGTCTATGTTTGGAGTAACAACCTCAAAATCTAAAGATGCTGCTTTTGAATTTCATCTTGTGACTCTCTGTGTAACTAATTGTTCAGGGTAAGTGTCTATATGTACTGTGAACATTTTAAATATGGCTTAAATCTGCTATCCTTTGTTAATATTAAAACTAAAACATCAAAGTTATTAATTTTTTTGTCAAAGGTTTAAATTCTGCATCAGTTAGCTGAAAATTAACTGTTAAATACATCAGTAACTCAATTTTTCTTTAAAGATAAGTGATTCATGAAAAAAATATGGAATAGTGTTTCAGTATGTCTTGCTTTATTTCATGGAGATTTTCAATTAGATGAATGCTTTTGTTATCAATTATCATGGAAAGATAAGTTAAATACACTCAATTAAATAGTCACTTTTGAAGTTTCTAGGTCTAACTTTGACCCATCCTAATTTACTTTAGCTTCCTTTTAAAGGAAGCCAATAATTTACCTAAGGATTTGTTTTTATTAGGTAAATTAGCGAACCCATTTGACTGTGTCAAGAAAAAGTAAGAGATATTTTGGAATGAAAAAGCAGTACCTTTTGAGGGACTATAATAATGATTAACATCTCTGTATTCACTTTCTACTGTCATGAAAGATACAGATGCTTTTGTCTATTGCTCTCTTTTGAATTCTTTTACAGCTGTTAGTACAGAAAACTATACATGGACTATAAGGAAACACTGCATTTGATTTTATGACATGGGCTTACTATTAGTCATCAGATTTCAAACAAATTTAGATTTACTCATTTGTTCACTTACTCCAGAATCATACTGAGTCTTTGTTTTAGGTGCTTAGTGTATCCAGTCCCCCTCACTACCCCTCAAACAGTTAAATGTGGCCCTTGACATCAAGGACTCAGAATAAAGAGAGGGAGAAGCATGTAATCAATTACAATACAAAGCAGAAAATACTGTAATCATAGAACATGAACTGACAAAATGTATATAGATTGTACGGGAAGACCACATCCAAGATGTACTGTGGAGACCCAAGCTGTATTAGCAGCAGATCTTCTGGTAGATGTGAGTTGGAAATTGAGTTGAAGATGAGATAAACAGTTCCAAAAAGGAACAGGATAGATATTTTCTCTTGGTTAAGAATAATAACATGAATAATAACATGAATAATAACAAGAATAATAACATGATGACTACTTTTAGTCATCATTTTTATATTTAATCTTTGTAGCCAGATTAATTTAAAACTTTTTTCCATTTTGTATCTCATCTCTTGAGACTCATAGCAGCCGCTCATGTACTCAATGACACAGTTTTAGCATTTTCTTAGTTGTATTACATAATTCCAAATTCTGTAACTTAAGGTAAAGTGAGTAAAGAATACATTAATAACTTAGATACTATGAGTTATATTTGGGAATAATAGCCCTTCCAAAGAGAGCTTATGAATGCTGCTCTCCAAAGGTTAGCAAGAGCATAAAAATTATGTGAGGGTTATTTTAGAAACTTTTACTCCTAAAAATTAACCATATCTTCAAAGACTGGACAAGAAATTGATTTTATTTGGGGAATGTATTAGTTTAGAAGAGAATGCATGTTAGTGAACTATTTGAGTGCCTTGCTCCACTCTGGCCCCAGTCTTTGGCGTGTGGGACCTCTGTGGGATAATGAGCTGAGATAACTTTCTTACCTAACACTAAACACATGAGAACTTAGAAGATGTACTGATTCTGGCAGTTGCCAGTAATGTGGCATCAGACATTTACTTACACTTCCTAGAGGAGTAGCAGTTTTCCTACCTGTAAAATCAGGGTTATGTTATCCTGTGGAGATGTGAAAATAAATTAATGTACACAGCAAAGGGCTCTATATATTACAGAGTACTTTGTCAAACTCCTAAACATTGAAGAGAATGTACAATGTGTAAGGAACCACTTTAGGATAGAGGAAGAAGCCACATGACACATAGTCAC
This sequence comes from Homo sapiens, assembly GCF_000001405.40. NCBI lineage: Eukaryota > Metazoa > Chordata > Mammalia > Primates > Hominidae > Homo > Homo sapiens. The sequence goes on from NC_000005.10 coordinate 99,423,281, forward strand.
ACAATGCCAGAGCAGTACCACAGATGCCATCTGATGTCTCTCAACTCAGGATTCATTCTACTACAGCATGTTGGGTTTCCTGTGAGTCTGTGTTGAAGAAATGGACCCAGAAATGTTGCTGTGTTAGCAGTTTGCCACTAAAAATGACCACTTAGGAAAAGCATATTTGTGGCCCGTCTGCTTTCATTGTGGGAGCTGTAAATGTAGAAGGAGATAAATTACTCCCCATTAATCTGTGCCTAACAGTGCACTTCTTTTAAAATTCTTAGAAGTATCTCGCATTTCATACTTAATACTATACTAATTCATGCTAATGACTTGAGAATTCCTAAGAGATGACTGAATTGTGCAAATGAGTAGCGATGCACATTAGAAAACAACATTATAAAATCAGGTATGTGAAATCCTGAGATGTACTTGCTTTATTTATTTTAACAAGGGCAGTTTACTTTCTGTAACTCATAATAAAGTACTACTGTGGAATAGAAAATGTACTAAAGTTGTTTTATTAAAGTAATAAAGCCTGAATAGGAGGCTTCACTAAAGCCCACCACCATTAAATTGTTACGAATATTGAGTTAAAGATGCCAGGTTATTGTATTTTTAATTTTCTGTATAAAATTCTATTTAAAATTTTGCACGTTTCAGAGAACATAAGGAATTTATGACTACTCTTCTTCCCTTACTTGTCTTTGGAATGAAAATATTTTTTGCAAATATCTGAAAAATTCCAAGCTGACATTTCTTTTCATTTGGCTAAGACGCTTGAGTAATACAACTGAGATCATGACCAAGTTTACAGAGGAGCTCTCTGCTGAGAATATATGCTGACTCTCACTAATTGCCCTTTTGCAAGCAGAAACCCGAGGCACAAGCAACATGAGGTCAATGGATGGTTTCAAGGAGGAACATCTATACTGTGTATATGTACTCTAGCCACCGAGCTCTTCCTGGTTGGTTCTGCCTACTCTTGGAGTTCATGTCCATCCACTCAGCTTTAGCATGGTTACAAGGTTTTGAAAATCAGAGCACATACCCTTTGCCTCCCCTGGGTTATCTCAGGGCTTATGATACATAGAAATGCGTAATACATGCTGTTGACCATATGAAGCTTGACTAATTTTATTCATCATGGCTAAAGAGGAGGGGAACCATATTTTTCCTTCTTTCGTACATTTTCTTTATCCTATAAGTTTTGGTGTAATATAAAGCTAGTGGATTACAGTGAGAAAGGAAAGAAGAATCAATACTATTAGCACCTGAGAAAAATACATAGAATCAACATTCTTGCTTACAATTTTAGTAAGGCACCACATGAGCATCACCACTTGTGGAAAAGTAACTTAAAGTGCAACTGACTGGCCATTGTGTTCTTTATTCCACATGATCAATAACTCTTCGTTAACAGTATGGAAGTTGAAGCTATACATAAATGATTTCTGTACTTTGTTTATACACCTTTGCCTTCCTTAAAATCATATTAAGCTGAATCGTACTACACTATTTTTCATTGAGTGAAAACCCAGTTTGTATGAAGAAGGTTATTGTTAGCTCTTCAGAACTTCTCATAGGCTATAACCCATATAAAATAAATAAATAAAAACAGCAAGTACATAACATATTTGGAGGCCAAATTTTCTTTTATTTATTCTTATTGGCATGGTATACAAGGAAATAGCTGGAATAAAGTAATATATGGCTCACATGTGTGCACTTGTTTTCATATTACATTTTATTTAACCTCTTTTTATTAAATGGATTGTGTTTTATCAATTGCTAGTGTTAGCTCACCTGTTACAAATTTAGAAATTTATAACACAAAAATATAGCAAGAAAGCATGAAACAGCATGAAATTATATTGTTATTATATATTTTCCCCATCTTCTCCTTCCTCTTTGCCCCTCCAATCTCTTATCTGGACTGCTCTGGCTCATTATATATTATGAATTCAAAAGTGGAAGTTGGCAGTTTGTGAATTTTGAACAGAGAGAGAAAACTTAAAACTTGTTTATGCCATGTGAAGTAATACAGTATGGCCAAGATTAGAATGACAAAATCTACATGAAAGCAACGTTCCAAGCTCAGCTCTGGTCTAAAATATACAAGATAAGAGTTATTAGGTCTGGAATGTTCTTCTTGATGGTTTTTGGTAGCTTAGAGTCTGAGATTTGTCTGAAAATTCCCAATCTGAGTCAGGCTTTTTCCTTTGCCAACATCCGTATTTCAGGTTATCTGCCCCTACTAACATAGGTTATGCAGTGCAAGGTATCTTCATTCAAATTTCATCTTCACTATTTACTATTCGTATAATCTTTGGATATATTAATGATTTTAAGCCTTGGCTTCCACATTAGTTACGTGGAATTAATAATTTTTCTTTTTTTCTAGGAAATATATGGGAGAATACATGGTATATGGTAAATAAAGTCTTAAATTCGGGTACTGGCATATTTTAATATTCAAAAAGTAATGCTTTTATTTCTTTCCATACATTGAGGAAGAAAAATGCTGGGTATTCATCCATTCCCTCACTCAACCAATCAATTTAAAGTCTGTATTGTAGTCCAGTAGTGTATTAGATATAAGGAATAGAAATCAGGGGATCCAATCACTTTCCTAATGAAGCTTGCTGATTAATAGGGGACACAGATGTACGGACAACCTATTATAATGTAATGACACAGATGCTGAAAAACATATATATTCATATATATTTAATATATATGTGTGTGTATGCATGTGTGTGTATATATATGTATACCATATATATGGTATACATATACATACATATATATGGTATACATATGCATACATATATATGGTATACATATGCATACATATATATGGTATACATATACATACATATATATGGTATACATATACATACATATATATGGTATACATATACATACATATATATGGTATACATATACATACATATATATGGTATACATATACATACATATATATGGTATACATATACATACATATATATGGTATACATATACATATATATGGTATACATATATATACATACACATATATGGTATACATACATACACATATATGGTATACATACATACACATATATATGGTATACATATATACACATATATATGGTATACATATATACACACATATATATGGTATACATATATACACATATATATGGTATACATATATACACATATATATGGTATACATATATACACATATATATGGTATACATATATACACATATATATGGTATACATATATACACATATATATATGGTATACATATATACACATATATATATGGTATACATATATACACATATATATGGTATACATATATACACATATATATGGTATACATATATACACATATATATGGTATACATATATACACATATATATGGTATTCATATATACACATATATATGGTATACATATATACACATATATATGGTATACATATATATACATATATATGGTATACCATATATATACATATATATGGTATACCATATATATACGTATATATATGGTATACATATATATACGTATATATATGGTATACATATATATACGTATATATATGGTATACATATATATACGTATATATATGGTATACATATATATACGTATATATATGGTATACATATATATACGTATATATATGGTATACATATATATACGTATATATATGGTATACATATATATACGTATATATACACACACACACACACACATATATATGACTATGGCCAGAGGAAGAAAAATGTCAGCTGATGTGTAAACAAACAACACAGAAAGACTTCTTGGAAAGATGATGCTTAATCTCTGTCTAGAATGTTGATGAAAAATGAATCAGGTAAAGAAGGGGTTGTGATGTCTTGAACATTCCTGGAAAATAATACAATGTCAAAAGCCACTGGTACCTAAAATTGCCTGGAGCTTGGAGAATGCCCAACACTTCCCACATGGCCAAAAGAAATCATTTTAGGACAGACATAGCTTTAAAAGTGGACTATTTCATGATATTTCCATTGTTTAACAATATTTGAGTAAACAACAAAGAAATCAGCTGCTCTCAAAGATATAAGCTGGGCCAGCTCTTAGCTTGTGTGAAGTTATTTATTTCCTGTGTCTTTGAGGAATTGCACTAAGGTGGACTCAAACAGCTAAAATTATTTTATCTTGTTTCATGTACATAAAAATGTGTAATACTTGTCAAGATGGGTAGAAACTATGTTCTATGAAGCCAATATATGGTGAATACAATTTCTCTTTACCATGACAATAAAAGCTATGTTGGCAAAAGGTATGGTTTCTATCTCTAATCATAGCTTTTACAAAATAAACCATTTTAATTAGCTTATGATGGAATTTTGACAAGAATTTAAATACAACTTGTTTTTTTATTTAAAAAAATTTTATGTTGTATTTCACACTGATGGGTCCCAGTAAGTCTATTAATTGCTGTGAAAAGTGGTAGATATTTTATAGGTAGTTATAATTTTACTATGGCTGTGATTCAATAAACAAGAAACAAAAACATGTTGACTCTGTTGTCATTGCTGTGAATTTTCTGTGGAGTTTACACTTTCATTGTGTGTTCCATTTTTACTTGGTGGACTTTCTCTGACTTCTTTAGGTTATATTTAAGATAAGTAACTTAGAACTGCCAGTGGGGTTTCTAAAAAGGTAGTATTATGGTTTGGGACACTGGAAAAAATCATAGTTCCTATTTTGTCGCATCAATTTTCTAATAATATCTAGCATTTTGATAAGTATTTTGATAAAGATTTCTCCATTTGACATTTAATTTTAAAATATTTTCCTTTCACAAGGACATGTGTGAGCAAATTTGCTTTGAGTCTCTGTGGGGATTAGTTCTGTATTTCCAGAAGTCACATAAATAGAGGGTGGTAGAGGGGTCAAAGTGGTCTCCTTCATAGAACTGATTAGATAAATATTTAACTTACTTAGGAGTAAAAGCTGATTAAAACAGTATTGTTTAAAACCAGATATATGTGCTCTGAAGTTTCTGTAGTTATTTTTATATGTTTATATAATGTAATCACATATTTTCATGAAATTTTTTGAGGTAAATTTTATTTCAGCATTTCTTTGCTAACTTTGTCAATATGTTGAAGCAAATGTTACTCTTAAAAGACATTTAAAAAGGTATATTTTGTTTTATTTTGATTTTCACAATCCATTTCACTTATTTTCGACTTTACAAAATTAAAATATTCCAAATGATTCCAAAGTGTTTAAAGAAAATTTATTCATCTCCTTTGACCCATTAAAAATACATGTATGTGTTTGTGTATGAATATATATGACAGAATGCATTTTCTCTCACTAATCTATTGTTACATAAGAATTAAAATTCTCTTGCTAATCTATTTTTACATAAGAAAGAATTAAAACACTTTCTCTTAAAAATACACAACTAAAAGTTTCTCTTAAAAGTATGCAACCAGTGTTCCAGTCTATGTGTTATTAAGAATTTAGAATTGAATAGAGTGCAATATTGAGGGCCACTATCTAACATTGTAGATAACTGTTGTACTGCTTCTGATTCTCTAAGTAAATCAAGTGCAAATTATTCAAATTAATGTTCTAAGTATTCTTTGAAATGCATACATCAAAATAGATTACATATGACAATTATATGGACTCTGTTATAAAAGAGGTACTCTAAACTAAACTCAGATTATGGTTTCTAAAGTAGTAACTGAACTTTATGAACTAGAAGTTAGAGGCAGTTATACCAGTATTTGTGACAGCAACTCTGAGATTATCATTTTGCATAATATGCTGCATGTCATCAGTAGCATAATGCTTGAGCCTCAGGGTCTCTCATTTGTGCAAGACCCTTTGGAGGCCTGTACCTTAGTAGAGGTACTGGCTTCTGCAACAGTATCTCCTGAGAGTGTGTTAGAAATGCAATGCCACAGGTATCACCCCTAAACTAATCAAATTCTGCCTTTTCACAAGATCTCCATGTGATTCATGTGCACATTAATGTTTAAGAAGGACTGTTCTAACTGCACTATTATTGATAAAAAATAATGCATAGCAGATAGTTGAAATTCTTAATGAAATGTAAACATCTTTTGCCAAAACACAAAAGTTTCAAATAACTCTTAGGGAAATCCTTTGGTCCATAAACCAATTTATAAAATCTATGATGGAAGAATAATATTTTGAGACATTAAACAATATTTACTGTTTTCGTCTATACTTCCTGTATTTCCTCTTTTTCCATCACTCTCCTTCAAACAGTAGGTAGATATTAATATGTGCATTGCCTTAAGGGTGAAATGTGATATTCTACAAAGCTGAAATTTTATGATCATAGTGTTCCAAAGGCTAAGCCCTCAGGTCAGAGGTCTCAAAATTATGATCTGCAAGCTAAATGCATCCCACAGATGTGTTTTGTCAGTAAAGTGTTTGTCCAGTTTATTTTTAAATTTGGACATATGTAGACAAATGGAGTCCACTATACCTGGCTCCAGTGGCATGGAAAGAGGATTGGGGATCCCTTAAAAGGCCAAGGTTAAACTTTCTCATCAAATTAACTGTGTGGAAGCCAAAATAAAAATTTAGAGAAATTATAAAGTTATCAATAGCTAACACATAGCACTTCAAATGTGCTAAGCATTGTTCTAAGCACTTACTAAATTATTTAATCTCCACAACAACCCCATAAGATAGATGCTATGATTATGACCATCCCAATATGAGGAAACTGAGGTATAGAAAGATGCTTATTTGCCAAAAGTTCCGCAGCTAGTGCAATATATGACAGAGTTGAATTTTGAACATAAGTAATATTATGGTGTCAGTCCTTGAAAAACTATGTTAGACCTACAGTTATATTTCCTGCACATAAGAAGTTCTGGGCTCATGTTTTTGAATCTGACATGTGCTTCTTCTCCTTTATAGTGCAGTGTCTATAGTAGAGGAATCCAGCACTATTGCAGTCCTAGTGATTCAATAGAAATGACACACAGAACACTGGGCTGCAGTAGAAGTTACTTTCTACATAGCTGGTAGATCCTTGATGCTGTTGTGTCTTCCCCAGTCTAAAGATACAAAAGGAAGTGAGCTTATAGCCGTGAACTGCTCAGCTTGCTGGAAGTTTGCTTTGTACACAGAGCAAGGCCCTGGAGAGATCCTGGAGAGCTGGGCCTGCTCACTCAGGTACTTACAGAATATTTATCTTCTACAGTACATATTTTCTGGTTCATTAGTAAGCACAGTGAGAGTAACCTTGAACCAAGCCCGAGTTGTCATGTTTTCCAGTCTTGCACCATGCACAGGCCTTTTGCGGTCTGGACTAGCTTAGCACTCCTTTTGTGCATCTGTACAGTTTGCTTCCTATTTCTCATCTAATTTATTTTTTAGATTTTAAATTATTTTGTCTCAATTGTTATGCTTCTAATTTGGTGTTTCTGTTTCTAAAGTTTTTGGGTTTTTAAAGTATTTTTATTGCTGTATCATGGTTGTACATACCTTCAGAGTACATGTGATATTTTGATACATGTATACATTATGCAATGATCAAATCAGTATAATTGGGATATCCCTTGTCATAAACATTTATCTTTTTTTTGCATTGGGAACATTACACTTCTTCTAGTTATTTTGAAGTATACAGTAAATTATTAACTATAATTTTCTTACTGTACAATCAAATACTATAACTTATTCCTTCTATCTAACTGTATTTTTACACACATTAAACAACTTCTCTTCATCCGTTCTCCTGCTGATTTCCCTTTCCAGCTTTTGGTAACCACTATTCTATCTCTGCTTCCATGCAATCAACTCTTTTTTAAACGTTTTTCTTATGTTTAGGGTACATGTGCAGGATTGTTACATAAGTAAACTGTGTGTTGTCGGGGTTAGGTGTACAGATTACTTCATCACCCAGGTAATGAGCATAGTACCTGATAGGCATTTTTCTTTGATCCTCTCCCTCTTCCCACCCTCCACCCTCAAATAGACCCCAGTGTTCTCCTGTTTGGGTCCACGTGTTCTCGCTGTTTACCTCACACTTATAATTTAGAATATATAGTATTTGGTTTTCTGTTCTGCATCAGTTTGATTAGGATAATGGTCTCTAGCTCCATCCATGTTGCTGCAAAGAACATTATCTCACTTTTTATGGTTGTTTAGTATCCCATGGTGTATATGTACCATAATTTCTTTATCCTGTCTACTGTTGATGGGCATTGAGGTTGATTCTGTCTTTGCTATCGTGAAGAGTGCCGCAATAAACATGTGTGTATGTGTCTTTACAGTAGAATAAATTATATTCCTTTGGGTATATACCCAGTAATAAGACTGCCAGGTTGAGTGGCAATTCTGTTAGGGCACATATGCAGGATTGTTATATAGGTAAACTGCATGTTATGTTTGGTTGGTGTACAGATTTGGGACTGCAGATATCTCTTTGATATATACTGATTTCCTTTCTTTTTCCCCATGCATTTTAGCATGTGAAGTTTAGTGAAAGAACATTATACTATAAAACAAGTTATACAGTAAGACTACAGCAAATTTATTGTATCAGAAGGAAAGGCAGAGAAGACTGGTGTAAGGGCAGGTCAGTTTGAGATTTGGTGGTGTCCTGATGAAGTGGCCTTGGACTTTACTGTTACAGTGAACTCCTTCCCACTTCCAGCTGCTGGTCCCGGCATCTCCTTGCCTGAGGGCTTTCTCCAGCTGCTCAAAGATGTTCTGCTTGAATGTGAGGAGCCAGAACTACCTGGGAATTAGGACTCTACAGGAGCAGTCCTTGATTTCTCGTTTTATTTGGAGGAACCTGTCTACAAGGACATCTTTACTCCCATTCCATGGGAAGGAGGATGACTTATCTGATTGGTGATTTTGGATTTAGTCCTGTCCTTTCTTTCTCTTCGGAAGCCATTTGGTCAACAGGAAGTACATAGGCTGGTTTCCTCTGTGGCTTTTGGTCAGGCCCTCGGGAAGAGATCTGGTCATGCCAATGTCTTCATTGAAAGAAATATCTAATTCAAGGATGAAGTTTGTATCTGTATATCTTGCTTTCTGACTTTTGCCTCTATCTCTCATTTTGTTCTGAACTCATGAAGGAAGAGGGAGGTCATTAACTATTTTGATAAAGCTGTAACATTTGGCATTTCAGAAGATAAGGGGAAAAAGAATAATAAGAAGAGGGTAAAGAAAAGGGTAAAAAATCAGAAAATTGTCAAACTCGCTGAAGTTAAATCCAGTTGACACTTAGAATAAAATAAAATGAAATAGAAATTATTTGCCATAGCCTAAAAGGCATATGTACTTCTGCACTTCATCTCCCTTTTCTCTTCATGTTCATACTATGAGAGTCATAGTGTTTTTTGAACATGCTGAGCTTGTTTCTAACTCGTGGTCTTTCTACTTGCTGTTTTCTCTGCTTAAAACTCTTCATTTATTTAACAAATGATTATTGAATACCTATAGCATACCAGTGCTGTTCTAGTTATTGGTCATCTCTCAATAAACAGAACAAAGATTTCTGCTAAATTTACAAGTTAGCCGAGGGCCTGAGGCAAGAAAAGGTAAGAAATTAAAAACATAAATAAATAAATGAATAAGTCATCTGATATATCAGAAAAGCATGCTTTAGAAAAAGAAAAAATGTGTAGCAGGTTAAGAGGATCAGGAACACCTGGGTTTTGGGAAGCATGTTGAGATTTTAAGTAGTGGGAGTTGAGCAGGTCGGGGTAGGCCTCATTGAAATGGTAGGATTTGAAGGAAATGAGAGAGCCATAAAGCTATCGAGGGAAGAGTTCTAGATAGAGAGGACAGTCATTTCAAAGCCAATACAAAGGCTAGTGGCACTTGCCTGCTGTGTGCTAGCCAAGTAGGCCTATGTGACTGGAACAGAGTGAACCAAGGGGAGAGTAAAAGGAGTTGTGGCTACAGAAATGGCAGAGCCCTTTCTTGCTGGAGGACATTCTAACAGCCATGATGACTTGTGGCTTTTACTCTGAGTGAATTGAGAGATATTTTAGGGCTCTTTTCCTAGATATTCACAGTTCCTATCATTCCATTCTTAGCCCTGATTTCATCTCTTCTGAAAGCTCTCCCCTGACCACCTTATGTAGTTGCCTTTTCATCCTATTTTTATTCACTTCCCTTGATGTTTCTTTCATATATATTTGTTACTAAAATTATTTTATGTATTCATTGACTTTTGTCTGCCTATTTTGTTTATAGATTTTCTTCACTAGAAGGCAAAGTCCAGGAGGATATTAATTATGTCTTATTATTTCTATATCCCCAGATCTTAGAACATATGCCTGACATATAGTAGGCTCTCAGTAAATATTTGCTAAATGAATAGTTGTATTGAAATGGCAATAATCACCTTATATGTGTGTTTTATCCAGGAACATTCAACTGTTCAGAACTAGCCTTAGAAAAGTAAGAAGATAATTAGGCCCACACAAGTTTGGATTTGTGTGTGGAAGAAGACACATGCATAGGAGTAAAGGATGTTTTTAAAAGGATGATTTTAATAGTTAATTATGGAATTTAAACTAGTCATGATGGCAAGTGAAGATGAACATAGTGATGAATAATGAAAACTTATGAAAGTCAAGGGACTTGTGGTCTTGAGGAGTCAAAGCATTGATGTAAGATTGCTAGAGATGGAAGCTGGAGAGCCTGGTGGTGTTGTTTATAGTGGGCTTTCTGAAATTAAAAGATCTTGTTAATTTTCTCTTGTTAACTGTGAAGACACTCCAAGTGGTCTCTCTGCCTTTAGTATTTTCTCCCTTTAATCTGCCCATTCTACCCCAGTGTGTTTACTTCTCTAAAATGCAACTCAGATATACCATCAACTCCTTATAAAGTTCCCTTAACAAGTCCTCACATCTCTGAAGCTGATTCTCTTGACTTGAAAACACCTTCTTGATGTGGACTTTGCCTAATTTTTTCTTCAACGTCTTCTCATGGAGTTTCACCCGAGTCACTTAGGTGCAGATAAAAATGACCCGATGTTACATATTGTGCAACGTGACTTTGCACATACATTTCTTCTGCATTTAAAGCATTCTTTCCCTATTTTTTTTTTTTACCCAATAAACCCTAAGTATCCTAAGACTTAAGTGGTTTCTTCTTCCGTGAAGCCGTCTTTACCATCTGCAGAGTTAATGTCTCTATTCCCTGCTCTACTTTTGCATCTCATCTATTTTTTCTAATTTTTTTATTATGCATATTGTCATAATATGCCTTCTCCTCTGTAAAGCAGCGATCCTAAGGAAATGGAAAGACTGAATTTTGTTTTAATATCGATGAATCATATTCCCTCAATAAATATTTCTTTGAATGAATGCATGCATAAATGGAAGGCTAAACTAATAAACTTGTTAGGTTAGTTAACAGTGACTTCCAAAGATGCTTTTTGTTTATTTCAGTACAGGCCAGAGACAGATATTCAATTGTTTGCTGCCAATGGTAGCTTTATTGCTTCTTGCTATCCTGGAATAATTGAATTTTAACATTTCCTTGGAAAATATTGTAGTGTTATGTAAATATGGGCCATTGCCACACAATATCTTTTATTTCCCTGTCTTTGCTTGTTTCTTTTAGCCAGAATTATCCAACAAAATCTGGCCTTAAAATTGTTTTGTTCAAACACACTAGTTTCACAGAACAGAAGTAAAAAGTTTAATTAAGGACAAGACATAATATTAACAACAAATGATTTGGTACTGTTTTGTTATTAGCAAAAAAGTTGCTCAATAACCTAGGCAAAAAATGACAATGAAATGAAAGTAGACCTTTTAAAAGCAATTTAAAATAATTAAATTGTCCATAATAAAGTGGAAATTAATTATTATGATTATTAATGAAAAGATTATTCTGTTTTGTGGAGAAGCTGCTTAAGAAGTGATTAGTATATATTTCATTAATATCTTTCTTTTGGTGTTGGATAGAATTAACAGATGGAAAATATACTTTCAGAATGCCTGCTAAGTTGTGACTATGGGTTTCCTAAATATGTCAAAAAAAGACTGACTGCTGGCAGATGTGCATAACAACAAAGAAAACCTTTATATAACAAGAAAAGTCCATATGTTTTAAATGATGTCAAAATACACAGGAAAATAAGGCATGTCTGAATATGGTAGCTGGTGGCATTGTCAATAAAATCACCTTGCTTGGCATACTTAAGACATATTTCTCATGTATAAAATCCTATAAGTTTGTGAAAATGTGCAACGCTAATGACACATACAACAATTTAAGTTGAATTCCTCAGAATTTCAAGATTTTTCTCAATCAAATGCAAATGACATTATCTCTTTGAAACATGGCTACTTCTTGTTTTATTCAAATAGTTTTTCAGGCTTTCTGTTAGGCACCATGGCCTGAAACATATAAGAAAAAACACAGATTTTTTTTTTTTTAATGTGTGTCTAACTGGAGATAAAAGAGATTTACTCTTTTTCTAGCTGCAACTATTCGATTTTACTTTTCTTTTTATGGGAAAGTTGTTGCTCAGCTTTCTTTGGAAAAATTGCTTTTGAATTGGGATACTGAGACTTGGTACAAAAGGTAGTGTAACATTCTCTTCAAGCTTATCTCTCTGCAATTAAGTAATCAGAAAGCACAGACATTCATAATTTGCTAAAAATAATTTTGTTTACATAATTTTTAAATTATGAGAATGACTAACAACAGTGAAAAAAAGATTCACCCACAAGCATAATCCATTTCTTATTCATCAAGATGGATCATTTGAAAGCTCAATTTACTTTGTAAAAGTGAATAAAAATTTAATGAATAAGGAGGACATTAAAGAATGTACAATACTCACAGCTGTGGATATAAAAGTACAGGAAGAATAGGGAAATATAGAGAAATAGAACTTTAACAACATGGAAAGTACTGTTTTTCTCCCAAATTTAATAGTTCAATAGATGATTGAAAAGTTAGTGTTTAGTTTCTTACAGTCCACTGTATAATTTTACATTAAATGTAATATTTTCTTTTCTTTTTTTTTTTTTTTTTTTTTTGAGACAGGGTCTCACTTTGTCACTCAGGCTGGAGTTCAGTGGTTTGCCCTTGGCTCACTGCAACCTCGACCTCCCAAAGTTCAAGCGGTCTTCCTGTCTCAGCTTCCCCAAGTAAGTGGGGCTACAGGCACAGACAACCAGCGAATTTTTGTATTTTTTTGTAAAAATGGGGTTTCGCTATGTTGCCCAGGCTGATCTTGAACTCTTGAGCTCAAGCAATCTGCCCGCCTTGGCCTCCCAAAGTCATGGGATTACAGGCATGAGCCACCACACCCGGCCCAAATGTAATATTTTTATATAACAGTTCATTTTATTGTATCTTATAGTGATGATTAACTAATAATTAAAATAATTACAATTAATACTATTGATGCTTGGGAAAAAGGGATATCAGGCTGACCGATGAAAGCATGTCCAAATTTCCATGGCCTGGTCTGCAAGAAGCTTGGGCCCAATAAGTTGCATTCTAATACAAACATATTTTTGTGGAGAAGCCTGGAAAATTTATTTTACCTAGCCCAAACCCTCTAAAAGGCCTAGAGAAAGATAGCTTATATCTCTTTATATGCCTCTTAGGCTCTTGGCGTGTGATAGGTACTATCTTGTACCATAAATCTTGGAAAACTGATTATTTAAAACAAAATGTATGCACTTTATCTTGTTAAATAACATGTCATTTGATTGCATATTTAGGAATATATTATGCTTCTTCATAAATGATACCATAGTGTTGCTAGAATACTAGAAGTAAATTTTTTTTTTTTTTTTTTTGAGACCGAGTCTCGCTCTGTAGTGCAGTGGTGCGATCTCGGCTCACTGCAATTTCTGCCTCCTGGGTTCAAGTGATTCTCCTGCCTCAGCCTCCCGAGTAGCTGGGACTACAGGCATGCATCACCACACCCAGCTAATTTTTGTATTTTTAGTAGAGATGGGGTTTCGCCATGTTGGCCAGGCTGGTCTTGAACTCCTAACCTCAGGTGATCCGCCCACCTCAGCCTCCCAAAGTGCTAGGATTATAAGCATGAGCCACCGCGCCTGGCCAGAAGTAAAATTTTAAATAACAGAATACTACAGGTATTACAGTAATACTTGCATTTACTTTGAGTTACTTGGAGATCTATTTTGGGGGAGGGATTTTGCTTCTACAGAATGGAGTTACAGGTATCAAATTGAGCAAGTGTGGGATAAATGTTGGCCCATTTTAAGAAAATCTTTAAAAAATACTACTTGCATTGTAGAGCAGTGGAGTAGACATTGCTAGTGTTTGCCACACAAGCATATCTGCCATTGGAAAAGCCTCTTTCTTTCCTATTCCAGTGTGATTTTTCAGTCCATTAATCACAGTTCTCTCATCCTCGAGAAAGAAAGGATAGCATTTAGTCCTGGCTAAGCCGTCCAAAGGCAGGAATCTAAAACAGACAATGTATGAATTTCTGCCACTTCATTTTCTCTGGCCCTGTTTCCTGTGGCCTGGTGTTGCACCTCTTCTGTGACTCCATGGATTAGTCTGTGTTCTTAAACAAATCTTCTTTCAGTACTTCCAGGTTTTCAAATGTTCCTACCCCTGGAAAATTAATGAGAGCCAGGACACCCAGAGGAGGTTGCTGCTCATAAAGCAGGAAGCCAGGGCCGAGGAAAGGGTGAGAAGTTGCCTGTGATACAGAGGCTCACATATAACTTTGCTGAAGCCTCTTCCAAGCTACTTTGGGACTTGCTGTCTGGGTTGCTGGTGCCCAATTTATAGAGCCATTATGACATCTTGGCTTACATGCTTCTGAGAAGGGTACACAGGAATATGCTTTTCTTTACAAAGACTTAGGCTTTCTATATTAAAGCAGGTGGTCTTTTATGCTGAGGTGACATTTTAACCTAAATATGTACAATTTGCTATCATGAGTTTTATGTAAATGTTGAATAAACCAACCTATTCTGAGATATAAACTTTACAGTTGCCAGATACCATAAAAATCCTTGCTGGCTTACCTCCAATATGTTGTAAGTGAGTATTTAGAAATCAAACATCTTGATGAAGAAGAGTAGGTTTAATATCTCACAACTCCACCATGGACACTGTTTCTTCTTACATAAAAGTCAGTAAAGTATAAACTTTCTTTCTGTGACTTTTCATTAGCTTTTCAGGACTCAAAGGCAGGAATTGTTTATGGGCCAGGCTCTATTACCTCAATATTGATCCCCACCTTTTAACGCTTCTTCAGAGATTTATCAAAACACTTGCACAAGAATCAGAGTGGTCAGAAATTGCTTTCTGAGAGCAAATGTCTATTTTGAGTGCAAAGTTAAAAAAAGAGGGGGGTTGTGACCTAACCACCTTCCTTTTTCACTTTTACTGGCACCATTAATTACAGCTCTTAGATGTTTTCCTGCCTTAGTAAATAATAAAGTAAGCATCTTTTTCTGTGTTTACCCTGTGGTCATCGGGAGCGAGTTAGAGGGCAAAGGGAAGCTAGGTATAACGTGCTGTTGAGGACTGTAATCTCAGGCTTGACTTGTGTAGACATAACTTGCTTTCTATCAGTTGGTATATTGACTCAGGAAACTACAATAAAGCAGCTACAGGCCATGATTCTTAAATTTGACATACCTTGGCTAAGATAAGTAAACTCGTATGGCGTCTATCGCTTCGTCTTATCTTTAACATCTGTTGGTCCAAGAGAATTATGAACTTACCTATTGTATTTGCTTAAACTCCCCTTCTAAAGAAATTGGGTTCCAGACTCTGGACTCAGCAAGGCAGACATCTACAAGCCACACAAGTCATGAGGGCTGTGAGACTGGTGGATGAGATACAGGACAGGGAGTCTAGGGAAATTAAAAACGCACCATCAAAGGCTGAACTAAGATTGAATGCTAAGTGAATAGTGCAGTATCAGGGCCTTTCTGAAGAGGAATGTCAGGGACACTGAAATACATCTCAAGATAAGGGACTGGAATCTGGATATACAATAATAGAGCAAACTGGTCTTCAGTCACCCAGACCTAGACTCCAATGCATCACCCAGACCTAGACTCCAATGCATCACCCAGACCTAGACTCTAATGCATCAGAGATCTTGCCAGTCTCTACAGATCTGGCTATCCTCTGCAGGGAGACCGGTCAGATGCCCTGAAGCATTGGATCCTAGATGTGGGTAATTTTCACAAGGAACTGTGCAACTTTTGGTTGGAGATACAGCTGATTAGGGCTGATTTACACAATATTCTCCAGACCTTGCCTATGGGTGAATTAAGTGTGGGACTTCACCAGTCTAACCATTAGATTATAATATATTCAGGAGCATTGTAGAGCTGGCAGTTAGACTCCTATGACCATTAACTTCTCCAAGACAAATCCTTTGTGAACCAGATACTGAATATGACCCTGACAATTGTATGACTTCTGAACATTCCTTAGAACCTTTCGTTTCCAATATAAAACAGTAGGGCAGGTCCCTGAGGTCCAGGTCAGAAGATACATTTTCAGTGGCCTAAACATACTAGAGAGGAATAAAGTATAAAAGCCCAGGTGGATTCACATGAATGGTAGTAATTACCAACAAAGTCACCAGACCAGCCAGGCACGGTGGCTCATGCCTGTAATCCTAGCATTTTGGAAAGCTGAGGCAGGTGGATTGCTTGAGCTCAGTTCGAGACCTGCCTGGGAAACATGGTGAAACCCTGTCTCTACTAAAATACAAAAAATTAGTCAGGCGTGGTGGCACGTGCCTATAATCACCGCTACATGGGAGCCTGAGGCAGGAGAATTGCTTGAACCCAGGAGGTGGAAGTTGCAGTGAGCCGAGATCATGCCACTGTACTCCAGCCTGGGCGACAGAACGAGACTCTGCCTCAAGAAAAACAAAACAAAACAAAAGAAAAAAACAAAAAACAAGCACCAAAAACAACAAAAAAAAACAAAGAAAGTCACCAGACTGATGTCTTCTACAACTTTTAAGAGCTTTAAGTACTTGTCTTCAAGCTCTTAGCATGAGTTGATGATGCTTATATATTATAAGGGGCATCATATTTTTTGTGGTCTGTGTTTGATTTTTAGAATAGTGGGTAAAATGCATAGGGCAAAGAAGTAGTGAGAATGGGGACTATAGTTTCTCTAAAAAGTGAGTGAAGATATGCAATGCTGATTCTGTCACGACATTGAAGCCAAAATAGTCATACTGTCAATCAAACACAGATATAGCCCATCTAAAAAGAATTATTGGCCAGGCAGAGTGGCTTACACCTGTAATCCCAGCACTTTGGGAGGTCGAGGTGGGTGGATCATCTGGGGCCAGGAGTTCGAGACCAGCCTGGACAACATAGCAAAACTCCATCTCTACTAAAAGTCAGGCATGATGGCAGGTGCCAGTAATCCCAGCAATTTAGGAGGCTGAGAGAATCGCTTGAACCCGGGATGCAAAGGTTGCAGTGAGCTGAGCTTGCACCATTACACTCCAGCCTGGGCAGCAAGGGCAAAACTTCGTCTCAAAAAAAAAAAAAAAGAATTATTTGAGCAAGTAATATTTTGCAAAGTGTGCTATTAATCTCATTTTTCTCTCTTTGGGAAAGAGAAACTTGACTATATTATTTAGTACAGGATACAAGATTTACCAATTTTAGGCATTTTTATGGAAGTACTTGGATAAATTCTTTAACTGCATGCTTTATAGCAACCAAAATATTTTTTAGACCAAAAGAATCTTTATTACAAAATGACAATTTAATTATGGATATTGACATCCATGTATCTTAATAAATGTAGTTATAAATATATTTAGTTATCAACTCCAAAGATTATACCATGGATTTATGACATGCACCTTCTGTTTTATAATTTAAAATGTTTAATTATTATGGGTAAATAATGGTGTATAACTATGGGGTACATGTGATGTTTTGATACAGGTATACAATGTGTAATGATCAAATTAGGGTAACTGGAGTATTCATCGTATTGAGCATTTATACTTTGGGTTAGAAATTTACCATTTCTATTCTTTTAGTTATTTAAAAATATGTCATAAGTTTTGTGGGAAGCTTTAGCCCTTATGACTAAGGTTTTGAATCATTTTTTTCCTGAGGTTTTAATGACTTTCTGTGTGTCTCATGGTTGCATTCCACTGGATTTGGTAGGAAAGGATCACTTTCAATAGATGACACATCTATTGAACAGTAGGAACAGAGCATGCAAAGCCTCATGGCTAAATTGTTTTAAAGGTGTTTCGGCTTCAGTCCTCTCTGCAAAGCGTAATTTTAACTATTTATTAGAGAGGAATGCTCTGTTTTGTGTGATGCTGTGGCTTTCCAATCTTAGCATTCCTGGCTACATCTTTGTTGTCTGTTGTAGTCAGCATTTTGTGCTCTGTACATAAATTATGTCAAATATTACAGTCAAAACCAAATACAACAGAAATATGTCCTGCTTCTCCTTGAGGGGTTATAACACAAACCATAAAATAAGTGTTGTTAAGGAAAGCATCCAAGAACCACTCCCCTGACACTTGGACAAATCTCTGACCCAGTTGTTTAAACCAGATACTGCCAATTCTGCTTTATAACCATGTTGTGTTTTGAAAGATAATTTGTAAACCTGTTCCTTAAAACCTGGAACTGATTTTTCCATAGAAACAAGCTTTTCAAAGTTTAATAACAGTTTTCCTACCAATTTTGCCCACAAAATTTAAGGCAAAGAGAGAAAAGGAGGAACAAAGTGTTCGTGAATGTTATGTCATTGTTACCATGTATTTGACAGAAAAGCTATTTTATCATTTAACCCTCATAATCAAGTGAGAAGGTATTAGAATCCCTATGCTATAGGTTTTTATAGACTAATACTTTTCCAGTTTACATCTTAAAATGTAGGAGTGCATCTTCCTTTCTTTAGCTGTATCAGTGAGGTTAGGCAGGAACATTTTTTCTTTTGAATAGAGGGGCTGGCGTGTTTGCTTACTCCTAGTTACAGTTGGTGGCATAACTAGGAAGAAGTGGTGAGATAGGTGTAAACTGACAGGAAGAGTTCTTCAGGACATCAGATCAATCACCATTATCCTCACAACCACCATCTCCCAAGAACACCTCCCAAGCCAACCCTATAAATACCTTCACCATTGCAATTACAACCACTTACTATTGCTAACCACACCACAGCTATCAGGAAAATACCAATACTGCTTCCTCTACCTTACTATTATCTCAACCATCCTCCCAATATTACTACTGCTTCCTCTACTGTTTACAGTCACCATCATCTTCCTGATGACCCTTTATTTAGCCAGGCAGCTCCTCACTCCTCTTTGTAAATGGGCCTGGATTTAAAGACAAATAATTCTGATCATAGTTTTAAAGTTCTCTGCAGTCCACCCATAGCCCCTTGAATTAGAGAAGAAAATCATGAATACGTAGGTGAAAAACTATACACGTGTTCCCCAGAGAAAAACATTTCACCAGGGGAGTAAAGAGGTAGACGAAGGTAATATTAACTGAATGAGAAAAAGCTATCACAGAAGAGATTAAAGATCAAATCAGTCAACAACGTCAAAAGAGGCTGGTTATAACTAGAGAAATTGAAGGAGAAATAAATGAGAGAGCTTGGAGATACTTTAAAAGGGAGAAAAGATGAAAAATATCACTCTAATAAAAGCTCTTTCTTACCACTAGTGGTAAATTATTATTTATCAAAATTTGGGGGGGAGAAATTAGCAAAATTTGCCATTTTGTTTTAATGTGACTAGTAGAAATACCTGAGATAATCTAGATAATAATCATTCAGAACAAGAATAATCATTCGGGACTAAACAGGGATAGAAATAAGAAAAACTACAGTGGTTGTGGGTAATCCCCTATCATGTTCTCCTCCCTCACTGTTAATGTATAGCGATATTGGTCAAACCCCATAATTTCTGATAATTTATTGTTTCTCCTCTGGCTGGTAGGGAGAAGGGAAAAGCTTCTGGGTAGTCCTCTGATACTACTTGTCCCTGCCCATATCTCATGTTTAATTGTAATCTCCAGTGTTGGAGGTAGGGCCTAGTCGGGGGTCAGCGGATCATGGGGGTGGATTTCTCATGAATGGCTTAGTACCACCCCCTTGATGCCGTCCTCACCATAGTGAGTGACTTTTCATGACATCTGGCTGTTTAAAACCGTATGGCCTCTCTCTCTGTCTCTCTCTGTCTCCCCTGCTTTTGCCCATGTGATGTGCAAGGTCCTGCTTTGCCTTTCACCATGATTGTGTTTCCAGAGGACTCCCCAGAAGCAGATGCTGGCACTATGTTTCCTGTACAGCCTGCACATCTGTGATTCATCTAACCACCCCGCCTCCTTTTTAAATAATTACCCAGTCTCAGGTATTTCTTTATATAAATGCAAGAACGGCCGAACACACTCTCAAATAAGTTTCTTGAATTGATCATTTCTATTTGAAAAGAAGCCTCAGAAACTTGCCCTTTTGAGAAACAAGGTAAAACTTGAAGGCATTTACCAAAAGAACAAGTTGAACTACTGTTAGGCAGAGTGCATTCTGGCCCAGTTTCTTTAACAAATTATAGGGAAAACACAAACAAACTTCAAGTCAAATGCACAATTGTGAGTGTTTAAACGTAAGCCTCTGTTGACTAAAGAAAAAAAAAACAAAACACAGAGTCTCACTCTGTTGTACCAGCTGGAATGCAGTGGTATAATCCTGGCTCATTGTAACCTTCTCTCCCTCCTTTGGTCAAGTGATCCTCCCACCTAAGCCTTCTGAGTAGCAGGAACTATAGGTGAGAGCCACCAGGCTTAGCTCATTTTTATTTTTATTTTTTGTAGAGAGAAAGTCTCACTATATTGCCCCAGCTAATCTCAAACTCCTGGGATCAAGTGATCCTCCTGCCTTGGCCTCCCAAACTTCTGGAATTACAGGCGTGAGCCACTGCTACCAGCCAAAATCAACCTTTTAAAAGAATTAAAGTTGATTTTATTCAGAAATCTTTCACCAAGGACTATAGCCTGAGGTCTACTGTCCAGAAGTAGCCCTTTGGAAAGAGCCTACCAGACTGCTCTGGCACAGCATTTCAGTGTATTGTTAGTGTATTGATTCTTTGAGCATTAGAAATAATTTTTAATATTAATATATGTATATTGAATGTATATGCATGAATATTTATAGAAACATAGTTGCAGTGCTTATAAAATACAGCCTAATTAAGGGTAAAGGGAGATTGGATACTTTTACAGATTGTAACCAATTTAATTTCCTTACGTTTCTTATCCTTTTGCCATTCCTGTCTTTTGAAAATGTGTGGGCCCAATACGAGGCAGTGAGCCAAATAAGCAGTGTAAGTATGTGGAAAACCTGCTTTTTGTTAAAGAAAGTCTACTTGAATTTTGATTGAAAAAGGTATTTTCTTCCAATATAGATGGTTGATCAAATATGTAAGTCAGGGAAGCAGAAAAAATTGTTTAAAATGAACCATCACAAGGAAAGAAAAAGAAAGTAAAAAAAAAGAGTTAAAATGGAGCGAGAAAGAAGTAAGAAAACTTTATATTCAGAAAAATTGTCTTGCCATTTCAAGTAATATTCTTATTTTACTTTGCTGGTGAATATATTAAGGTAGGAAGGATTTTTTTAGTCTTATCAGAATATTATAAATGTGTGTACTATTTTAAATAAATAGTACTTTGTTGTACATATTCTTTTATAACCTATCTACTTTAGCAGCTTCCATTCATAACTTCTCTCTCCCTTTGACTCTCTGATCTAGCCACAGTGGATTTCTAATGGTACCTTATTTGTACATATTATCTTACACAGATCTTTCTACCTGGGATGTTTTTCCCTCCATTCTTTCCCAAGTTAGCATATATGACAACTTCATATGTCAGGTTACATTGCCATTTTCTCAAAGAAACTTTTTTATCCCCTCTTTCTAGACAAATTCGTCATAGTATGTAGTCTTATAGCACTATCTCTCCTTCTTAGTAGCTAAAGCAGATATAATGTTTCATTTTTCTTAGATTTAATAATGTTTTTCTTCAGGAAAAATAAGCTTTCCGTATGGGAATGGTCAAAACCTTTGCTTGCCATTTCTGAAATACTTATTAGTGCTCTATTCTAATTCTTCTGTGTTGTCTGCATAACAAGGATCCTGAAGCCTGAAAATTACATTTTCTAAACTCCCTTGCAGCTGGGTATTGCAAGGATTGGATAGGTTCTGCCAATAGTAGTCTCTGGAAAGAAGTAAGATTCCTGCTGGGAGGGAAAAGGCATTCTGCCTCTGTTTCTAGCATAAGCCTTGGTGGTAGCTACAGGTGATTATGTGCCCGAGGCAGCAGCATCAGTAGTTTCAGTAATGAAAGCAGGAAAGCTCCTGCCTGGTCTCATCGCCCTAATTCCATCACATGTGTAACAGATTCCTGCATTGAATCCCTCACTGCCTTGCTTAGATTGGTTTCTGATTTCCTAACTGGATCCTGACCAGTAAACCTAGTTCCTAGTGTGTATTATAGAAAAATAAATATACCTATTTTTCCCACTCAATATGCCATAGATACTTTTTATGCAATTAAATACAGGTCTAAATCAATATTGATTTTCCAAATCCATTTAAATTACTCCCTTCTAGCTAAGCTATAAAATGGAAATACGATTCTTTTAAATCCTTTCTATATTAGTGGAAGGTACACTTAATGTTTAACTTCCTATTTGTTTATTTTATCAGGCCTTGGCCACAAATGATAAGGAGTTGTAACTAGGACTTTTGAATTAAATGGATTTACTGAGAATGCATATGGTTCTTTTTAAGCTTAATTTTTATTAATAATTTAGATTTATGAAAACTAGTTAATTTGTCCACACTAATAAAGTATCTTTCAAGATGTATTTTAATATATTCTATGTAAATAAAAATTATTAAGAAATAAACTGGTCATAAATAATAGCTATATTTGGTATCCTATTTGACTGATATTTTCCTTCCTTGTGATGTTAGAAAAAAATTATCCCAGAGTTCTATATAGTCCTAATGACATTTCTAAATCTTCAAGAGAGTAACATAAAAGTTTCAGACTTGAAGATTAGTATATAATTGAACAGATCCTGGTTCACCCTAACTTTGAGTGATTTTGGAGGCAGAATAATGTATCCATTGGGAGAAGAATATAACAAATTAAAATTGTCACTCTCTTTAAATTTAAAATAGTTATAATAAAGTGAAAGCCATGAAACATTATCTTTGTGTTAAAATCATTTGTTATATTTAAAAAAGTGTCTCAGTATGTACAGAAATGAAAACAAAAATGACAGGCATTTGAACTAAACAAAGAAATGATTAATTTCCAATTGATTAATCAAAATGAAGTTAAAGTTTCCTGGAAGATTTATTTTGACTTACATTTTTTCTCTAGTAAAAAATAACATTTTTATATTATGTGTTCTTGCCAAACAATATAAACAGTTGAGGCCTTTAGTTAAATATTTTAATGAAAGAGCCTGTTTTTGTACATCTAAAGTTTTATATTTGAGTAGAAGTCCATGTAGTTTGTTTGAAATAATCAAGAAAATTGAAAAATGATTTTGGTAGGATATAAACTTATGTTTAAAGTAATTATTATGTGAACATTCTGAATTTTTAAATATTATTGTTTCACTCTGTGGATCTTTAATTTCTAAGAATTATTGAAAAGCTGGTTTAGCTTATAGTTTGTGGGATAGATATTAAAATTTGATGTCTCTAGTCTGAAGAAATTTACAACAAACTTGCATTAACAAGTTACTGGACAATATCTAAACCTAAACGCATCAAGGATCTTAGTTTATGCATCATTTCAATATCTGGTTCATGACTTAAGAGAAGAAGCAGGTATTTCCTTTGTAGTTGTGAATTCTTATTATAAGTTTTTTAACTGTTGAATTTTTTTAAAAAGTTTTTAAAAACATATTCTCTTCTACAAGAAAAACTTATTTCTCTTCTACAGGATTATGTGCCAGATAAAAGGAAAGGGGAAAAAATTAAAATACATTGTCTACAAAGATCCTTTATAGATCCTTTTAGTGGACAACTAAAAGAAAAAAAGGAAAAAAAGGGAGAATAGGGTAAAGAAAATATACAACAAAATTAGATTTAAAATTTTCTTTTTTTTATTGTACTTTAAGTTTTAGGGTACATGTGCACAACGTGCAGGTTAGTTACATATGTATACATTTGCCATGTTGGTGTCCTGCACCCATTAACTTGTCATTTAACGTTAGGTATATCTCCTAATGCTATCCCTCCCCCTCCCCCCACCCTACAACAGGCCCCGGTGTGTGATGCTCCCCTTCCTGTGTCCATGTGTTCTCATTGTTCAATTCCCAAAATTTTCTAATGTTTTCCTAAAATTATACTAATCACTGAGCAGGAACAAGGTAGACACACACAAATACAGACCCTGGCAATTTTTAACTTTTTTATTTGGAAATACTTATAGATTCATAGAAGGTTGGAAAGATAGGGACAGACAGCTTCTGTGTATCAATTTCTTATTTATCTCCCAATGGATACATATTAAATAATTATAGTATAATATCTAAACAAGGAAACTGACATTGATAAAATGTTATTTTACTGATGTTTCATTGTTCTATGTCATTTATCACAAGTGTAGATTTTTGTAACCACCCCTGCAATCAGGATACAGACCTACTTCATGAATATAAAAATCTGCCTCCTATTAACCTTTAATAATCATACCCACCATTCCCTCACCCATCCCTGAACACTGGCAACTATTACTTTGAAGTGTAAATGCAAACTTCAAATCCTTCTAACAGTGAATAAAAAACAAAAAAACAGGCCACTTACAAGGAAGTGACAGGCAGGCTGATAAAAAGCTTCTTATTAGTAATCTGGACCTCATCTCTGAAAATTAGAGAAATTTTTCTTGAACAAAATACAGTTGAAATATTTATTTGAAGTAAAGTAAGTGAGAAGATTATGTGTTTAGTGCTTCTTCTCTGAAGAGAAATGCCAGACTTTTTTGGTTAACTTATATCTTCTGAAAAATTTAGTTTTCAACCAAACAATAAATAGAAGAGGTAAGGTTTTTTAAAAGAATATAAAGAAAGTTTATGAAAGAGGTCCATCTAACATGTGACTTTTCTCTTTCCATTAAACTATTATGGAATTTTCACTGATAAAAAGTTTCTTCAGACCGGGCACGGTGGCTCACGCCTGTAATCCAGCACTTTGGGAGGCCGAGGCGGGCAGATCACCTGAGGTCAGGAGTTCGAGACCAGCCTGACCAACATGGAGAAACTCTGTCTCTACTAAAAAACACAAAATTAGCTGGGTGTGGTGGTGCATGCCTGCAATCCCAGTTATTTGGGAGGCTGAGGCAGGAGAATCACTTGAACCTGGGAGGCGGAGGTTGCAGTGAGCTGAGATCGAGCCATTGTACTCCAGCCTGGGCAACAAGAGTGAAACTCCATCTCAAAAAAAAAAAGTTTATTCAAAGTCTCTTAGAGTTTAGATTAATATGCAGATAACTATCTATATAATTATTTATTTTTATTTCCATAGGTTTATGGGAAACAGGTGGTGATTGGTTACATGAGTAAGTTCTTTAGTGGTGATTTGTGAGATTTTGGTGCACCCATCACCCAAGCAGCATACACTGTACCCAATTTGTAGTCTTTTATCCCTCACTTTCCTCCCACCCTTTTGCGCAAGTCCCCAAGGTCCATTGTATAATTAAATATCTATATGATTTATTGATGCAGAGTAAGAATCCTTTATATATATATAAAATATATATAGTGTATACATATACATGTAATGTGTTATATATAATAATGTATTCTCTTATCGAGAATTGTATACATACTATACTTAAATATACACACACAGTTGAGATATATATATATATATATATATATATGGCCAGGCATGGTGGCTCATGCCTGTAATCCCAGCACTTTGGGAGGCTGAGATGGGAGGATCACATGAGGGCAGGAGTTCAAGACCAGCCTGACTAGCCGAAACTCCATCTCTACTACAAATACAAAAATTAGCTGGATTTGGTGGCACATGCTTGTAATCCCAGCTACTCAGGAGGCTGAGGCAGGAGAATAGCTGAAACCTGGGAGGCGGAGGTTGCAGTGAGCCGGGATCATGTCACTGCCCTCCAGCCTGGTTGACAGAGTGAGACTCCATTTCAAAAAAAAAAAATATATATATATATATATAAAAATTGTGTAGTATGTCTGCATTGTCTTAATTGAATACACACCTTAAGATATTTCTCTCTCTCTCTTATTGAGGTAAAATTCATCTAACACAAAATTAACTATTTTAAGTTATACAATTACTGGCATTTAGTACATTCATCCAGCTCCAAAAGTTTTAGGACATTTGCTTGAGCTGCTTGAAAGCCCCACTGCAGAGCTTTCTGCTGGCCTCATATGGTACCCACACTTTGGTATAGTCTCCTTCCGTATTGACTCTGGGCTTGTCGTTGTGAGCTGCTTTGGCCAAAAGGACAACAAAAACAATTCTAACAAAAACTTGGTACATGCTGGCATGTTGAGGCTTGCCCTCTCGAAATTCAGCCTCCATGTTAAGAAGTCTTGGCTATTCTCCTGGAAAAGTTATGCAGAAAACAGAAGCACCCTGGTCAGGAGTCTTCGTTGAGGTCATAAACAAGGGAAGCCATCTGTGACTTGCCAGCCACAAAACAACTTGCCAATTGACTATTAATGCATGAGTAGCACTCACTTATTCCCACATGGAACTTAGATTAGTTCCCCAGCTAAGCCCTGGCTAAACACCAACACATAGTATTGTGGGCAAAGAAATAGTGGTTATTTGAAGCAAATAAATTTTCAATCACTTAGTTTTGTAACAAACAGGTAATTAAAATACTGCCTTTCAAATATTTTCTGCAGCTCTGCTGTCTACCCATCTAAATGCTACCTGTAATCACAGACTTCTAATATTGAAAAAATCCTGTGCTTGTTTTATGACAGAGTAAAACACAAAAGGAGAGAGTAGAAAACAAAGGAGTGCTTGGACCATAATAGCTCTCAAAACATTAACTCAAAGAGCCCCTGGTATAAAACTACCTTTGAAATCCTGTGGATCCAACTTTGTGCTACGGTTCTTTTAAACAGGGATCAGAACAGTCTGGATTCTTTCTGGGTAAATTCTGACTTACTTTTTTCCTCCTAAGTCCCTCCTCCATCATTTGGGGAAGATAAGAAGGGATTCTAATTATTAAGTTATGTGTACATATCTACCTGTGTTTCTTGTTTTCTCACATGTTATTAGTGGGGATAATAGCAAGTCATTATGGCACATACTGGCCCTCTCACTTGCTCCATCAATCTCTGCAAATACTAATGATGTTCTCTCTTCACAAGTAGACTTAAAGAACAACAAAAAATTAACCTGAAGCTTCTTTCACAAGATAGTTTGTCATTTTTATAAAGTAACTGGTTTTCAAGGAATTCAATTTATCTTTTGTTGTCATTAGTTCGTTTTCTGTGCCTCTCGTTTCAGTTTCACCCTAATATTGAGAAATTCAATTTTTATGATGGAGGAGTATTGGACTCATGTTTCAATACGTTTTTGGGGGTTATAATTATATTAAAATAATGGGCTAGGCACTGTGAGAGATTAAAGAAATGTATAACAGATTATCCCTAACTGATATAAAATTAGAGTCCAGTTAATAGAATGCTTTATGTATTCCATTTCGTCTGAGATGTGGGTGAGAAGATACATTATTGTTGGTATTTTAAGCTTCTTAAAAATGAAACAATCATATTTTCCCTAAACATAAAACAAAATAGCTTATATATTTTTATTATTATAAAAGTAATATGTGTTATTTCAAAAAACGTGGAAAACAACGAAAAACAAATAAAAATGTTTAAAAGTTACCTTTATTTTAGACTACTTACTTGTATCTTTTATATATATAAATAAATCAATAGGTAGAATGCATGCAAGAGAGAGAGCCCAAGAGAGTCATCAGAATGATCGGAGTGAGAGTGAAAGCAAAGACAAGGAGATTATCCAGACTAGAGTATAAAGCTGGTCTTATTTTTTACTATGTACTTAAATTTATATTGTAAGCATTTACCTATGAATTTAATAGGCTTTAAAAATTTAATTTTTATAACTGCATAGCATTTTATTTTGTGGATATAACATAAAATACTTACCATTCCTCTACTGTTACATCTCCCTCTCTCATTTTATCACATAGGCAATGTTTTAGTATATTAAAAATATTTCTGTTTCTTAAATGGAAAAAGTTATTTAACAAGTTTAGCCTATTATTTATGCTATTTTTAATGTCTTATATACTTCCCCGCCTCCTTGTGCTACCCCCTCTACTAGTTTACCAATTTAACACCTGCCCAGATATCTAACAATTGTGTAAGCAAAAGCATTGTTACAATTGGAAGCCCACCTATGTCTAAATATTTAAAAGATGCATATCAAACTAACAGACTTTACATAAAATATGTTCTGCTTACTTACTCATACAAATATAATTTCATAAATACAAACTTGAAAAAGTATGATTTTTATATTACTAAACACTGGCAAAAAATCACGATAAAAATGACTCAATTTAATTAATATTGCCCATGTCTGGCCTTCTTTGATGTGCTGAAAATACTTGGATTAAACTCGTCATTTACAAATTATTGATTTATAAAATTTATTTCCTTCGTTTTGGCAAAATCAGTAGTCATGTTGTTATAATAAATATTCTCTCATAATTTGTATTCCAAACTTCTGTTTAATCTTTATAGTCTTATATATCATTTTCTGAATTTAAATTTGAGGGTATTTATCTTTGCCAACATAATAGCAGATGGAATTGTCAATAAATTTCTTAAAACAATATCTAAATTGGAAAAAGAAATATACATTTCAATATATAATTTTCAAATATGTGGTTGCATATTATGGATTATCATTATATAAATAGTGCAACATATTTTAACATTATCATATAAATCATTATTATTTATAATCATAATATTCATAATATAGTAAAATGTAGACCCATACATTTTTTTCTCAAGTCCTTCTTTCAAATATTTTAATGCTGGAATGTTAGGAAATACAGTATCATCTTTTAAAAAGCAGTATTATGTTTCTCAATATGTCATCTCTGTTTAATTAAGACTATCTTAGTCTATAGTGACTAGGAAATAGACCATATGAAGTAGTTCATTACTTTTTGTAAGTGGATCTTTTCCTGTAGACAAACATTTTTGCTTCTGAGTTGTATTTTACTGGATTGCTACCTTTTTTTTTTTTTTTGCTAATTTCACATGAAGTTTCTTTTAATAGAAAAATACCAAACTTCTTCATCCTTTAAAAAGTGAAACAGCCAAACTTAGATTTATCTAGTTTTTTAAAGGATGTGTTAACATTAGTATTAGCAGAAAAATTTCTTATACTATGTAGCTATTGATATACTCAAATTTAAGGTTTTTTGTTAGACCATGCTTTGCTCATTATGTGGGATTTTTTTTCATAACTCTTCTGATACATTGTATCTTGGCTAAATGAAATGTAATTGGGTTAGCAACATGTTATATTTTCATTATGCGTTTGAGAGAGGTTGTTGAGTCAAAATTTGATATGTGTCTTATCAAGATATCTCTGGTGATCTACTGCACAGCATGTTGATTATAGTTACAATAATGTATTATATACTTCAAAATTGCTGAAAGCATGTATTTTAAATGTTCTTACCACAAAGAAATGATAAATATATGGGGTGATGGATGTGTTAATTAGCCTGATTTGATCATTCCACAATAGATACACATACCAAGACATCACATTCTGCCTTATAAATATATAAAATCATTATATGTCAATTAAAAATAAAATATAAATTTAAAAATTTTATCTTGGCAAGAGCTGGAAAATGTGAAATATTATACCTAATTGCTCCATATAATGTCATCAATCTCAGTGTATTTGAGGCTATTTCTCCCAGTTACACGTATCATTAGTTAAGGAACTTACATCATTAGTTAAGGAATTCCTTAACATCCATTAGTTAAAGAATAACTTACATCATTAGTTAAGGAACACTGATAGATTTTTCAGCCGGACTTCTGTCTTACATACTTCTCCTTCACCATCAATGTTAGCAGTGTAATCATAGACTTGTTCTCAGTATCAGAAATCAGTTCACAATTGAAAGATTTTGTTTGTTTGTTTGTTACTTCTCAAGTAAAGACTTAAGTTTAACTTTTACAGCTGGTCTAAAACAAGTAATTTTTTTTCTAATTGTCCAACAATACTAGTAATAAATATTAGTGTTCAGCATAGTTTTTGTCTTTTATTATTATCACTTTAAATTTTTAAACATATTATGGGTACTTTATTAAACACATTATGGATGTTTTATTCTCTTTGTTTT
The DNA here is from genome assembly GCF_000001405.40 of Homo sapiens. NCBI lineage: Eukaryota > Metazoa > Chordata > Mammalia > Primates > Hominidae > Homo > Homo sapiens. Next base: position 99,453,740 of record NC_000005.10, read on the forward strand.
TTATTCCATTAATCTCATTTTGAAGTTACTATTTTAGTTGTCATTTAATTATTTTTAAAATTTATTTTCATGTTTCATTATTCTACCATTAGATTTTGAAATCATTTCTCTTACATCTAGAATATAACCATTATCTTGTATAAAAATTATGAAATTAGTGTTACAGAAAATATCTTTTTTTTTCTTTTTTCTTTTTTCAAAATTTATTATTATTATACTTTAAGTTTTAGGGTATATGTGCACAATGTGCAGGTTAGTTACATATGTATACATGTGCCATGCTGGTGCACTGCACCCACTAACTCGTCATCTAGCATTAGGTATATCTCCCAATGCTATCCCTCCCCCCTCCTCCACCCCACAACAGTCCCCAGAGTGTGATGTTCCCCTTCCTGTGTCCATGTGTTCTCATTGTTCACTTCCCACCTATGAGTGAGAACATGCGGTGTTTGGGTTTTTGTTCTTGCGATAGTTTACTGAGAATGATGATTTCCAATTTCATCCATGTCCCTACAAAGGACGTGAACTCATCATTTTTTATGGCTGCATAGTATTCCATGCTGTATATGTGCCACATTTTCTTAATCCAGTCTATCATTGTTGGACATTTGGGTTGGTTCCAAGTCTTTGCTATTGTGAATAATGCCGCAATAAACATACGTGTGCATGTGTCTTTATAGCAGCATGATTTATAGTCCTTTGGGTATATACCCAGTAATGGGATGGCTGGGTCAAATGGTATTTCTAGTTCTAGATCCCTGAGGAATCGCCACACTGACTTCCACAGTGGTTGAACTAGTTTACAGTCCCAGCAACACTGTAAAAGTGTTCCTATTTCTCCACATCCTCTCCAGCACCTGTTGTTTCCTGACTTGTTAATGATTGCCATTCTAACTGGTGTGAGATGGTATCTCATTGTGGTTTTGATTTGCATTTCTCTGATGGCCAGTGGTGGTGAGCATTTTTTCATGTGTCTTTTGGCTGCATAAATGTCTTCTTTTGAGAAGTGTCTGTTCATGTCCTTCACCCACTTTTTGATGGGGTTGTTTGTTTTTTTCTTGTAAATTTGTTTGAGTTCATTGTAGATTGTGGATATTAGCCCCTTGTCGCATTTGAAAATGTGAAAATTTTCTCCCATTTTGTAGGTTGCCTGTTCACTCTGATGGTAGTTTCTTTTGCTGTGCAGAAGCTCTTGAGTTTAATTAGATCCCATTTATCAATTTTGGCTTTTGTTGCCATTGCTTTTGGTGTTTTAGACATGAAGTCCTTGCCCATGCCTGTGTCCTGAATGGTAATGCCTAGGTTTTCTTCTAGGGTTTTTATGGTTTTAGGTCTAACGTTTAAGTCTTTAATCCATCTTGAATTGATTTTTGTATAAGGTGTAAGGAAGGGATCCAGTTTCAGCTTTCTACATATGGCTAGCCAGTTTTCCCAGCACCATTTATTAAATAGGGAATCCTTTCCCCATTGCTTGTTTTTCTCAGGTTTGTCAAAGATCAGATAGTTGTAGATATGTGGCGTTATTTCTGAGGGCTCTGTTCTGTTCCATTGATCTATATCTCTGTTTTGGTACCAGTATCGTGCTGTTTTGGTTACTGTAGCCTTGTAGTATAGTTTGAAGTCAGGTAGTGTGATGCCTCCAGCTTTGTTCTTTTGGCTTAGGATTGACTTGGCGATGCGGGCTCTTTTTTGGTTCCATATGAACTTTAAAGTAGTTTTTTCCAATTCTGTGAAGAAAGTCATTGGTAGCTTGATGGGGATGGCATTGAATCTGTAAATTACCTTGGGCAGTATGGCCATTTTCACGATATTGATTCTTCCTACCCATGAGCATGGAATGTTCTTCCATTTGTTTGTATCCTCTTTTATTTCCTTGAGCAGTGGTTTGTAGTTCTCCTTGAAGATGTCCTTCACATCCCTTGTAAGTTGGATTCCTAGGTATTTTCTTCTCTTTGAAGCAATTGTGAATGGGAGTTCACTCATGATTTGGCTTTCTGTTTGTCTGTTGTTGGTGTATAAGAATGCTTGTGATTTTTGTACATTGATTTTGTATCCTGAGACTTTGCTGAAGTTGCTTATCAGCTTAAGGAGATTTTGGGCTGAGACAGTGGAGTTTTCTAGATATACAATCATGTCATCTGCAAACAGGGACAATTTGACTTCCTCTTTTCCTAATTGAATACCCTTTATTTCCTTCTCCTGCCTAATTGCCCTGGCCAGAACTTCCAACACTGTAACACCAAAAGCAATGGCAATAAAAGCCAAAATTGACAAATGGGATCTAATTAAACTAAAGAGCTTCTGCACAGCAAAAGAAACTACCATCAGAGTGAACAGGCAACCTACAAAATGGGAGAAAATTTTTGCAACCTACTCATCTGACAATGGGCTAATATCCACAATCTACAATGAATTCAAACAAATTTACAAGAAAAAAACAAACAACCCCATCAAAAAGTGGGCAAAGGACATGAACAGACACTTCTCAAAAGAAGACATTTATGCAGCCAAAAAACACATGAAAAAATGCTCACCATCACTGGCCATCAGAGAAATGCAAATCAAAACCACAATGAGATACCATCTCACACCAGTTAGAATGGCAATCATTCAAAAGTCAGGAAACAACAGGTGCTGGAGAGGATGTGGATAAATAGGAACACTTTTACAGTGTTGCTGGGACTGTAAACTAGTTCAACCGTTGTGGAAGTCAGTGTGGCGATTCCTCAGGGATCTAAAACTAGAAATACCATTTGACCCAGCCATCCCATTACTGGGTATATACCCAAAGGACTATAAATCATGCTGCTATAAAGACACATGCACACGTATGTTTATTGCGGCATTATTCACAATAGCAAAGACTTGGAACCAACCCAAATGTCCAACAACGATAGACTGGATTAAGAAAATGTGGCACATATACAGCATGGAATACTATGCAGCCATAAAAAATGATGAGTTCACGTCCTTTGTAGGGACATGGATGAAATTGGAAATCATCATTCTCAGTAAACTATCGCAAGAACAAAAAACCAAACACCGCATGTTCTCACTCATAGGTGGGAAGTGAACAATGAGAACACATGGACACAGGAGGGGGAACATCACACTCTGGGGACTGTTGTGGGGTGGGGGGAGGGGGGAGGGATAGCATTGGGAGATATACCTAATGCTAGATGACGAGTTAGTGGGTGCAGCGCACCAGCATGGCACATGTATACATATGTAACTAACCTGCACATTGTGCACATGTACCCTAAAACTTAAAGTATAATAATAATAAATAAAAAAATAAAAATAAAAAAATAAATAAATAGAGGAATATGTTTATTTTGTCTCAGTACTATGCAATATATTCATTGTCTCCCTCTTCCAAACTATATCACATGCTTAATATTAGAATGTTATTTATTCAAGCTGCAGTTGATTGCATATGCTAGATTTTATTTTTAACCTTTTGACATTGTTTCAGAAGAATATATTATTTTTGCATTTATTTGCAAGTAACTTACTATGCTGTAAAGTTGGGAATATAATAGACTATTTATATTTATTTACTGTATTCAAGTTTAATATATCTCACTTTCAAGGTAGTTCAAAAGTCTTTACATGAGATTTGAAAAACACACATACAACATCATTTGTGATTTGGATGGTTAATAAACATGAAAGAAACAAGAAAGGAATCAAGAAATTACAACTACACGTTTTATTCAAATGTTATCATAGCAAAAACTTTGGAAGAGCTTTACTTGTTGAACTTTAGATGGAAGGATATGCTTATGCTGCTATTCCTGCTCTAGTCCCTGCCTAATTCTGAGGTCATTAAACAGGACTGTCCCTTTGTCTCCCATTTATGCAACCCAGGAACATGAACCATTTTAACTCTCATAAATACACATGTTCCTTCTTACTTCAGGATCTCTCTCCGTGTTTTATTCTCTTCTTGTAAGCGTCTTCTGCTCACTTTTTCCTGACGAATTCCTTCTTAGGCTTATAAATTCCTCTCAGTGATCTTTTCCACAAAAGACTCTTGTCCCCTTTTTCTCTTTGGTCTCAAGATATTTCCCTTGATAACAATCTCAATATTATCTTGGATATCTTTCTTTATGATAAACTGAAGAGTTAAGTAATTAAATATTTAATAGCTGTATTTTTCTGCTGAACATAAGCTTTAAAGGGGCAGGGACTCTCTTGTTTTCTCTCAGTTTTCAATACCTAATACAGTATCAACATCTAATACTGAATAGGCATGAAATCAATATTTACTGAATGAATAAATGCAATGGAATTTTAACTTCCTACCATATTAAAAAAAATTGTGATCCCATGTATTTAAACCTGCAGATTTAAGTAGGTGACTCTCATTTCAGGGGGAAAAGCCCACTATTGTTTTAAAGTTTCTATGTATATGTTTTATTTAAATACAAGTTTTCTTTTTTGGCAGGGCCTTATCAATTCATTTCTAATATATAGGTATATTTAAACATTTTATTTTTTAATCTCAAATCAGATATATTGTAATTCTTTCAACTGAATTTTTCATTTTCTGTATATCATACTAATATAGGTATAGGCAATAAATAATTTATTCCAGTTATCTAATTCATACTTTTCATTGAATTAAATAATTTCTATGTCATTTTAATGGTTAAACTTAGTGGCCCGTTAGCTAAGTTAGGGGCTCTATTAAAGTTAGGGGCCCAGTCAGGCATGGTGGTGGTGGCCCAAGTCTATAATCACAGCACTCTGGGAGGCATAGGCGGGAGGGTTGCTTGAGTCCAGGAGTTCAAGACCAGCCAGGGCATCATATCTACAAAAATAAAAATAAAAATAAAAAGGTTAGCCAATCATGGAAGTGCTCGCCTGTAATCCTAGCTATTCAGGAGGCTAAGGTGGAGGATCACTCGAGCCTAGGAGTTTGAGGTTACAGTGAGGCTAGAGCTGCATTGTCTCCATACAGCAAGACCCTGTCTGTAAAATAATAATAATAATGATGATGATGATAAAAAATAAAGTTAGAGGCCCACTTGCCCCCATTTTTTATATTTTTGTTTCATTATAACTTTACTTCTAAGAACTTATTAACACCAACACATGCTTTAAACTCTAAATAAAAACATCACTAAGAGATAACTTTTCTAAAAAGAATGCTCAACTTCAAACATAATGAATTAGCACCTACTCTGAGCCACTCATGTTTTCTAAAGTTATATACAGAATTTTTCAAATTTATTAGTTAAATTTCTATAGCCAGAAGAGTTAAAATAAAAGGTGCACAAGAGGAACATAACAGCTTATTAGCCTATTAGCAGTAGAATTAAACATGATTTTGTAATATCCATGCCTATGAGATGGGCTATGAAGGGAAGATAGTATCTCAAAGCCAGAGGTCTGCTTAGAGGCCATCTAATCCCAACATGATGAAGGGTGCTTTCTCCACAATTATCTCTCATCTCATAAGTACTGGAACAATTATAAGTTTTTCACTATCTTTTCAGCATCTCTTTACATTTTTGAACATCCAATATTATTAGAAAGTTTTCTTTTACATTGACACAGAATATGTGATAACTTCCACACATCCTTACCTGTTTGTTTTGAATTCAAACAAAAAACAACACATTTAGTCCACATTTATATTAAACATCTTGAAAGCACATTTTTACTATTGTACCAATATTGATGTTGGTAGTTCTGAGATCTCTGAAGTTTGACTTACTACTCCAGAATGTAGTTAATTTAGACTAAGAGGCCTAGTCTCATTGGTAAAGCTTAGGTTTACACTTTAGTTTATCTTTACCATCTTGTTCTTTAATTTGTTCTCATCTAAGTTTAGCATATTCTTTCATATCTGAAGAGTATTCCCTCTCTCTCTCTCTTTTTTTTTTTTTTTTTGAGACAGGCTGGAATGCAGTGGTGCAATATCGGCTCCCTGTAACCTCCGCCTTCCAAGTTCAAGCAATTCTCCTGCCTCAGCTTCCCAAGTAGCTAGGATTACAGGCACCCACCACAGTGCCTGGCTAATTTTTGTATTTTTATTAGAGATGGGATTTCACCATATTGTCCAGGTTGGTCGCAAATTCCTGACCTCATGTGATCCACCGCCTTGGCCTCCCAAAGGACTGGGATTACAGAAGTGAGCCACCAGCCCCGGCTCATCTGAAGAGTATTCTCTTCAATAAAGACAGAAGAAAAATAGGAGAGGAGCGATACCACAATGTCATTCATTCTTATTGTGATCGTCATTGCTGGTCGATGCTCTGGAATGAAGAAATATATGGACAAGTCCAGTCTTCTTCCATGCTCAAAGTAAACTAAAAAAAATCCTTTATGTGACCTTTTTATTAAACATAAATCTAAGTTTATTGAGAAATCATCTTTGATACTGGTGATATACTTACAAACCCAGGCCAAATTTTATGTTTCTTCTTGATTGTATGTTATACTGAAAACTGACAGACAATTTGGACATGCACAACTCTTAGACTCTCCTTGGGTAAATATGACTAGTTTCCAATAATTACAGTTGGGGAAGGCGACTGTTGTCACCCTGACGAAACTCTGACACATGTTCTGCTGCTAATTGGCAAGTAAACGTGAACAATTATATAACTTTTGTGATCTGGATGACTTCTGATACTCTGTCCTTTTGGTGCTTCAATAGCATGTGTCATGCAGATCTAAAGGAAATGTTACATTGTTTTAGCAATAGGATTTGGCTGTGCAGACTCAGATAGCAAACAATCCTCTGAATCAGTGTATGGGTATCAGTGCACTTAAAAATCAAGGATAAAATATATGTAAATAAGGGAAACTATGTTTCTCACTGTCGGAGTGGGAAATTTCAAATTAGCCATAGGGAAGGCTAGAATGACCCATGTGGTATTGAGCTAGCATTAGCGACATCAGTAGGTGCTAATGTTTTAACCTAATATAGACGATGATAGATACATAGATAATTATAGACATGTCTATTTACAGAGATTATGTTCATTTATTTCTTGGTTCTGTCTGCTCATAAGACCTGGAAGCAATGGCGCTTTAATAGCAATGAGAACAGTTCATAATCACATCTTGTTTTTTAATGTATTATCTAATAAAAGGAACCAGTGTTCCTTGGAGAAATGACTAATTCTAGTACTGGGGCAGGAAATACACAAGGTGAGCCTGGAGCATTTTTTAGAGCCATAAAAAAGGAAGTGCTCATAAAACAAAACAATGGGGTATGTCAAGGAGATGCGGGTGACAACTGAAAGAGCTTCCAATGGCCAAAGTCTGAACAGTTTGGGCAACAAAATAATAATATAGTAATGTATTATAACCCAAATTATAAAATGACTATATATGAGTCCATGGCAATATATAACCGATTAAATTAGATAACTAAATAGGAAAGCAAATACACATATTTATGTGTATACACTTACCAGATTTTATACATTATTTGTTTAAGATAAGAAAAATATCAACCACTTCCTTTTTTAGAGCCATTTCTCCTTTTTTATTCTGGTCAATCAACAAATTTTGAAAGACAAATTTTACCAATAAAATTTTTATTAATTATCATAATGCTAGTTTCATAACTTGTTAAAGCTATCTCTAGAGAAATATATACCCTTTGAGTATATTTCCAATTATGTTTACTAAATGTCCCTTAAGTATGAATTAAGGCTGTGGACACATACACACACACACACACACACACACACACTCAGAGACAGAGAGAGAGAGTCTATGTTGAAGTATTTTAGAGCAAATTATTGATATCATAATACTCTTTTTTCCACTTTTTTTAACTTGTCTTTTTCATATATGACTTTTCCATAGAGCTTTCTGTTCAGCCCTGTCTATTTCTTTAGGCACATACCTCTTGTTTTATTAGATGCAGTTATCATGATTTTCAGTCAGGACTTCATTGTGGAGACTTTCCTAACTGGTTTTCTGTCTTTCTACTTCTGAATGCTGACTTTTGCCCACATTAGTCACTTTGCTGTCATTAACTATAAGAGAACAAGGTGTCTCTGACTGAAGTTTCCTGTAATTACTTCTTTTCCAACTGGAACTTGCTGTCACATTCATGTTATGCCCAGAGAAGCAGCTGTGTCTGTTACTTTTCAACATTTTTTTTCAGATATAATTTTCAGCCTGTCAGGTTTTTCAGATGTTTAATATTTATCCAAATAAAGTATTCTTCTAGGAATTCTTTCATCAGAATTTTTGAGATACATATATATGGCAAGCAGAAACAAGATACATTCTCTGCTACCAAAAGATTGCTGTTTAGTTAATGTGCGGGATGCAACAGATAAACAGATAGTAATTATACTGTGTAAAAGCCTTTAGGGTAAAGGTGGGCACAGGTATTTATTAAAACCCATTGAAGGAGTTTCCAAAACAGCCTTTTTGCGAGTGTTTGGTTAGAGAAGGCTTCCTAGAGGAGGTGTCTTCTGAAATGAATCCTACAACACAAAGGATGACGTATAGGGATGCAGAAATGAAAGAAGACAGGGTGAGCTGAAGCTCTGTTTGAAGAAAGAGAAGTTCACATTCTTGGGATGCAAGTAGCTCAGGAGATGAAGGTGGAGATAATTGAGGAGTAGCAAAAGATGAGTCTACAACAGTAAGCAGAGAATATATCACAGTGGGTCTTCTATGTCATGCTACAGAGTTTGAATATGTTAGAGACTTGACATAATCACGTTTGTGTATTACAAAGATCATTCCAGGAATAATAAAGAGACAAGATTGAAAAGGCCATAGTTAGAATCAGGCAGAACACAGCTGCTACTGCTAAGATTTAGCTGAAAAATTATGAGGTAATGAATTAAAACAGTGGAAATGTGAACGGAGAGGACATAAATCTCCAGCACCACTCATAGTACCTATCAAAATCAACATTTCATAAATATATTTGAATAAATGAAGCAATAGATAAAATTAAGAAATTTACACTAGGATTTGAAGGGGTGTCCAGCTTGAGCAGCAGAATTGAAAACTATAATAATGAGAGGTAGCATGAGGAAAACTTTGACGCAAAGACAGGCAGAGGCCGGGTGCGGTGGCTCGTGCCTGTAATCCCAGCACTTTGGGAGGCCGAGGTGGGTAGATCACAAGGTCTGGAGATTGAGACCATCCTGGCGAACACTGTGAAATCCCGTCTCTACTAAAAATACAAAAAAATTAGCCGGGCGTGGTGGCGGGTGCCTGTAGTCCCAGCTACTCAGGAGGCTGAGGCAGGAGAATGGCATGAACCCGGGGGGTGGAGCTTGCAGTGAGTGGAGATCGCACCACTGCACTCCAGCCTGGGCAACAGAGCAAGACTCCGTCTCAAAAAAAAAAAAAAAAAAAAGGCAGAAATTGGAAATCCAGATGGCAAGAGACTTAAAACAGGCAGATTTCAAGCGAATAAGTATCTTACCATTATTATATTGTTAGTATTCCAGAAATAATTTTTTAATACAAAAATCTTACATTTTTGACATCTGATTGGATCATTCATAATATACTACCAAAACAATATAAATTTTATGTTCTCTGTGTTATCTCCACCAAAATGTGTATATCTTCTGGTTTATGAACTTCAATGTAAACATTGTATTACTGCTTAACTACAGTGCCCCTCTGCTGTCTGTCTAGTCTTTCTCTAGCTCTTTTCCTTTCTTACTTAAACCCATGCACACTTACATTGTGTTCTATGGTCTATCTTGAACATAACTTGCAGTATTTTAATCTGTGCCTGTATCTTCTAACCTGTTGGGATTATTGGTAAAGAAGAACCAGATCATTTTTTCAACTCTGTTCTCATTTTCTGAGCTGCCAAGCCAGTTATAGCATTTTACAATATTTGATGATGTGGGTCAACACAGGCTGGAAACACCTGTGCTCAGTAAGTACTACCCCATACCTATGTTCCTAAGCATGTCTCACAAAAAGGCAAATTCACCCAGAAAAATCCTCAAAGAACCCTAGTCTCACCCCTGGTTCGAAGGAGGATCCAATTGTGGATTTGTAAGCAATTCATCATGTTAAGCCTCTGCAAACTCAGCAGACATATTCAAAAGGAACATTAGGAAGATAAGTTCTTAGACTTCCCATAGTGTTCATGTACTTCCTATTTTTACAAAATGTGCTTCAGGCTCTCTGGATTTACATCTGCTCTTCTGTTTTTGTTCTTTTGTTTGTTGGTTGGTTTTGTTTTGTTTTTTGTACCTTACTGATTTGACTCACTCCAAGATTTTGTTTTCTGGTTTAAGGCTGGTCTTCTCCATCATCCTTAATTATGACCTGAACAGTCAGTTCATCTCTCTTAGGCCAGCTTACATTTCTGCAGCTGCCTGCTGGAGGACAATGTAGGACAGAGGCATCATGGAGTGATGAAGGGAGAGGTCCTTTACTTACAGGGACTGTTAACAAATTCCATCCAGATGCCAATGATTGTCTGAAAAGGAATGAAAGCTGATGAAATAAAAATACCTATTCTTATAGGCATCAGACAACTCACATTTCATTTGAATTAGCCAAATTTAAATAATATATTTGATGTTATATAAGGATCTAGAGCTAGAAATACCATCTGATGCAGCAATCCTATCACTAGGTATATACCCAAAGGATTATAAATCATTCTACTATAAAGAAACATGCACACATACGCTTATTGCGGCATTGTTCACAATAGCGAAGACTTGGAACAAACCCAAATGCCCATCAATGATAGACTGGATAAAGAAAATGTGGCACATATACACCATAGAATACTATGCAGCCATAAAAAAGGATGAGATCATGTCCTTTGCAGGGACATGGATGAAGCTGGAAACCATCATTCTCAGCAAACTAACACAAGAACAGAAAACCAAACACCGCATGTTCTCACTCATAAATGGGAGTTGAACAGTGAGAACACATGGACACAGGGAGGGGAACATCACCCACTGGGGCCTTTCTGGGGGCTGGGGGGCTAGGGGAGGGTTAGCATCAGGAGAAATACCTAATGTAGATGATGTGTTGATGGGTGTAGCAAACCACCATGGCACGTGTATACCTATGTAACAAACCTGCATGTTCCGCACATGTACCCCAGAATTTAAAGTATAATATAAAATAGATATTAGCCCAATTCACAGATTAATGTGAAAAAATATTTTCAATCATATAATTATTGTCTCATTGACATAGCCTGATCTGTATAGCTTATATTTTTTAACATCCCCATTTATAGATAGGAAAATGATTCCTATGGTGATACCAATTTGATTAAGTTTGTTCAATATTTATGTGGTTTAGACTTCCCTAAATTGGGAATATATTGATATGAATCCAAGTTTCCAAATCACATACGATATTTTATCATGCTACTTAGGACTGCTTGGAAATATGATGTTAACTATCAAATATATTTTAATATTTATAAATAATTTCTTAATTTTAAACTGATAATATATTTTAAACAAGTGAGTTATCTTGTGGAAATATGTTTGATTAAATTTATTTCAAAACCTTCAAATCATAAGTGGATTATAAATTTACTCTTAGCATTGCAAAGCCCGAAGCATAATGATTAAAAACAGCCTGGAACTGAATTGCCTGGGTCAGTTCTCAAGATTGCTACCTGCTAGCTGTTTGTCTGTGGGAAAGTCACCTAAACTCTTGTGTGTCTAATTTTCTTCATCTATAAATTAGGAGTAATTGTAGTATCTTTCTTACAGGGTTGTGGTAAATATAAAATGAGTTACAACTAGCAAAAATCAAAGAACTGGCACAGACGATTATATCTATAATGTGTTTGTTAAATGTTTTAAATGTTCTGTCAGTACAGTGTTGCATAAAATTAAGAATTATAGATGTTATATCATAGAATTTACTTAAACTTGAAATAATACCTTAGTTTTCTAAGATTCTCAGAGGAACAAAAACAAGGCATTTCAATAGAATAAGAATTCTAATGTTATTTTCTTTCTACAGATATCAAATTTATGTCTCGATTAAAATGAGTCTTTCTAATATTTTGTCTGTCTAAAAATGTATTGTGAATTTTTCAAAAACAAAATGTTGATTATATGGTCAGCAAAATCAATAAGTCTGGCATTTCATATTCATAAAGTTTGATTTATTGTGATTATTACTGGTATTGTTCAATTTCCTATGTGCTGTCTTACCAACAAATAGTATGACTCCTGAAGGTCAAAAATGAAATAAAAAATATTTTGTGCATCTGCTAGTTCAGTCTATTTTGAATGGCAAAGTGGTTGGCAATTGCCTCATTGAAAATTTAATTTTCCTTTCATATCTTTCATCCTCTGTGGTTATATAAATGACTATATTTGCAATCATGTTTTTCCACAGATAAAAGCCCTGTGGGTTCAGTCATTGGTTAAACTTTAAAAATAAATACTGATGAAAGAATTCTTTATATCATATTTTCCTCATTTACTTATTCTAGTTAAGACCAAATTCTTTATGCTATTTTAAACTTTATTTTCTCTATTAAGTTCTCTTATATTGCTGCTATTCAAATTTTTTTCCCTACTTCATTGTGCTTCATATTTATGACAGCACAATTCACAATTCCAAAGATATGGAATCAACCTAAGTGCCTATCAATTGAAGTGAATAAAGAAAATGTGATATATATATGTGTGTGTGTGTGTGTGTATTATATATGTGTGTATATATATGTGTGTGTGTGTATACATATATATACCACAAAACACTAAACCATATAAAAGAGTGAAATAATGTGTTCTTGCTACAACTTGGGTGGAATTGGAGGCCATTATCTTAGGTGAAGTAACTCAGGAATAAAAAAACAAATACCACATACTCTTACTTATAAGTGGGAGCTAAGTTGTGGGTACACAGAGACATACAGAGTGGTAAAATGGACATTGAAAACTCAGAAAGGAGAAGGATGCAATGGAGGTGAGGGATGAAATATTAGCTGTTGGGTACAATGTACACTATTTGGTTGACAGGTACAATAAAAGCCCAGACTTCACCGTTATACAATTCATTCATGTAATCAGAAACCATTTTTTTTTTTTTCTTGAGACAGGGTCTTACTCTCCCGCACAGGCTGGCATGCAGTGGTGTGACCATGGCTCCGCTGCAGCCTCAACCTCCCAGGCTCAAGCAATCCTCCCACCTTAGCCTCCCAAGTAGCTGGGGCTACAGGCACACGCCACCATGCCCACCTAATTTTTAAATTTTTTGTACAGACGGGGTCTCACTATGTTGCCAGGGATGGTCTCAAACTCCTGGGCTAAATTGATCCTCCCAATGGATGCCTCCCAAAGTGTTGGCATACAGTGCCCAGCCTCAAAGAATGCTTGGGCCCCTAAAACTACTGAAATAAAAAAAATTAAAGGAAAAAATAAAATATATTCAAATGCAAACCTAATAAGCATTTGTTTTATGTTAAAATAACATAAAATGACATTTTCAGGTTTCATCATTTTTTTGTTGTTAGCAATAATATTTATATATGTTTAAAAACATCTTCTCTGTTGTTAAAAAGTGAAATTTTTTTTGTCTGACGTCCTGTTTTTTTTCACTATGATTACTCAAAATTCACTTGGATGATTTTTATTTTCATTTAAATCATACTGTGCCATATAATTCACTCAAACAGAAAAAGGATTCATCCAGGAATCCTTCCGTAGTTGATGCTGTTATCTGGTTTGTACACTCCTAGACAAAAAATTTCATGGTCATTTTAATATTAGTTGATATGCCCATTTGTGGCCAAGTCACTTAGGCAAAACCAGAGGGTCTAACTCAATATTTTTTAAAAAGTGACTGAACACATACTATAGAAACATCCACTGTCTGTTTATTAAATTGAAAGATACATGACAAACACACTGAGATCAATCTACATTTCATATGTAGATCTTTGTACAGTAAGATTCTGGCCTTATTTTAATTTCTTTTTCCTAAAGACCTTTGTAAGAGAAGTGTCCCTGTTCTCATTCTGTATGGGTAGTGTGGAGACTCTCCTTTTTTTTTTTCTTTTTTTTTATTATTATTATACTGTAAGTTTTAGGGTTCATGTGCACAATGTGCAGGTTAGTTACATATGTATACATGTGCCATGCTGGTGTGCTGCACCCATTAACTCGTCATTTAGCATTAGGTATATCTCCTAATGCTAACCCTCCCCCCCTGCCCCCACCCCACAACAGTCCCCAGAGTGTGATGTCTTTACCAGTAAAAAGGGTGCAGTGTTCTCAGTATAACTGACTTTAGACAAATATATTCTTATAATGACCTAATTCCCAAATTTTCATAGCACTGCAATGATATGTTATTTTATTATTTTTTTTTTGAGATGGAGTCTCACTCTGTCACCCAGGCTGGAGTGTAATGGTGTGGTCTTGGCTCACTGCAACCTCCACCTCCTGGGTTCAAGTGATTCTCCTGCCTCAGCCTCATGAGTAGCTGGGACTACATGCACATGCCACCATACCTGGATAACTTTTGTATTTTTAGTAAGGATGGGGTTTCACTATGTTGTCCAGGTGGTCTCGAACTCATGACCTCATGATTCGCCTGCCTTGGCCTCTGAAAATGCTGGGATTACAGGTATGAGCCACCGTTTAATGTTATTTTTCAACTTTATGGATGCTACAATAAATTTAAATGTTTGCTGTTTTATTTAAATAATGTCCACCAAGTGCCTACTATGTACCAAGCAAAAAACAAGATAGTCATTGAAGACAAAAATGATGAGGGCCTTGCCCTCAAGAGTTTAAAATTCAATGTGATATCAACACAGATGTATTTTTTAAGGAATATATTATGGTAATTACTTAAATGAAAGTATAGAAAAAATGCAGTGGCCACATTAGGAAAGGAACACTTAGATTAAGAGATAGTAATGTGTGATATTTAAAAACATGAAAATAAAAATGATGAGGCCCTTGCCCTTAAGAGTTTAAAATTCAATGTGATATCAACACAGATATATTTTTAAAGGAATATATTATGGTAATCACTTAAATGAAAGTATAGAAAAAATGCAATGGCCACATTAGGAAAGGAACACTTAAATTAAGAGATAGTAATGTGTGATATTTAAAAACATGAGTTTTAGAATCCTGTACACCGAGAGACAATTCTTTATTCTGCTACTTACTTGGCTGTGTGATCTTGTACAAGGTGCTTAACCTCTCAGGGCTTTAGTTCCCTCATCTGTAAGTGGGAAAAATGACTACACCAGTAATATTGTGAATGTTTATTTAAACAATGTGTTTCATAAATGTCAGGCACAATTTATAAAGCCCTACCTGGAAAAATCAGGAAAGAATTTAAAGGGTCTGTTGAACTGAGCTTTAAAGTTTGAATAGAAACATTCCAGCCAGCTAAGTGTAGAATAATATCTAAGAAGAAGAGAATTACATGCAAGGGAAAAAGATAGGCAATTTTAGGGTGAATTTGCATATTCAAAAGTGGTTTATATGGATGGATTCAAAATACAAGCAATTACTACATAGCCATGAAACCAGATACATAGGTTGAGTCCAAATTATAAAAGCCCACCTGTCACATTCGGACTATGGAAGGGAGGTGGTCACTGAAAATTTTTGATCAGTTAGAGGAATATGTTTATATTGGTACATCAAAATTATCACTTTTGAAACGATATTAAAAATAGAAATGTGACAAGAAAGGTTAAGGAAGGAAAAGTATTGCAGTGTAAGACAACAAATTTTAAGCCAACTTGATAATTAGAAACAGTGAGAAAAGATTGAAGAAGTGCAGCTGGAGAGGTAAGCACACAATCTAATTTTATTGTGGAGATTTAATTTATATTGGCTGGTTGGATGTGAGATGTAAATGATGAAAATTTGGCGAGTTTTCTCAGTTGGGTTAGTGACATTATTAACTAGGATGCTAAACAGATGAGGTATAAGTTTGTCATAAAAGTAGAAAATCATATGGTTGAGATATATTGAATTTAAACATTCTATGGGATATCTAGGAATAGACGTCGTATTGGACATCTTGCACAAATACTTAGATATCAGAAGACAAATCTAGACTGTGAAGCATTCCTCCATAGACAGTGGTTGGAGTTGTGGGTTATAAGGAATCCCAAAAATGAGGTTAGGAAGAAGGCTGACATGATAGCGTTAGAGTAATCAACATATAAAAGTACGCACAAGAAGACCAACCCATATAGTTTATGAAATTGTGACAAACTGAAATTGATAATCCTTGAGAAAAAGATTAGGGAGAACTACAGCAGTTACTTGTGAAAAATGCAGATTTCTGGATTCTACCAAAGACTTACTGAATTGCAGTCTTTGAAGCTTTGCAAGACTGTGTTTTAAAAGTTAAGTAAAGATAGTCTATATTGTAAAAGACTATTTAGAGTAGATCATCCTGTAATGAATTGAGGGTGAGTGGTAGATGAGGACATGGAGACACTGAAAAAAATCTACATGCTCATTTTAAGATTTGGCAGTGGAAGAAAGGAAAGAAAGAAATTGTAGGATGAGTGGGAAAATAAATATGTGTTGAGCATAAAAGATATAAAGGTAGGAAAGAGGTGATAGAAACAAATTAGGTAGGTAAGTTACCTCACCTGTTTTTATTTCAGTGTCTTTCAGTAGAAAAAGTACCTACTTCCTTAGGAGTCTCATGAAATTAAACAAAATAATCTAGAAAAGACGGTACAATACTTTTCACATGAAAAAGTACCACATAGATACTAGGTGTTTTATTAGTGATATTTCTTCAGTTTCTAGGATGGTCCTGGGCTAGTATAGGGTAAGAAATCCAAATGTCAACATCCATCCTTTATGTATCTCAAACACACACTAACGAGAAATAAAATACAGTACACTTACAAATAAGTAAATTGCTACATTCATCCACAGATATCTTGTTTTTGGGAATATTCTAAAACATTTGAGAACAACAAATCCAACATTTTTCAGTTAGAATTCCCAGAAGAAAATCCCTATCAACAATATCTATAGCTCTTAAACTTGGAGTTTTGTGAGGAAAACATGTTTCTATGCTATCTATATATGCCTTGGTGGTAGAAAGGATATATTGTTCAGCAGTTAACATTTCAGACATTGGTTGACTTCCAGAAACGTACATGTTTCAACACTTGGATTTTCATCGTTATTTTTATTAGTCAAACCTGTCAACTAGTCCCCGAGGAAAAATTCACAGTGAAAGTTTGCCAATTATAATTAAGACAAAACATGTGAGAGCAGTTACCTCTATGAGCACACCCTGGTGAACAGATATTTAACTCCTGAGTGAACAACAGGTAACATTGTACTTGGATGTTGGTAAACTGCTTCTAATGAAAATGTATTCAAAGCTACTTTTTTCCCCCTGCTGCTCTCCCTTTGGTTAATGCCTTTCTAGCAGAGATATATTTATAAATGCATAGTATGTGCTTAACATCCAAGAGTAGAAACAAATATCTGATCCTTACCAATAAGCATTCCAGAGAAGCACACACTCTAATTTATACTTGGGTTTGATATTTAATTAGGTGAATAGTCATGTTTACTCTCTCATAAATAATATTTAATGGCTTCCTGTGTAAATATAATATGCTGCTTCTTGCCAAATGCCTTAGCTACACAATATTTGCTTAATAATAAACTCTTGGATGGTTTTAAAACAATATTTTATTTTATTTGCATGATTGCATGTGCTTCAGACTACAATGTAACAGCCTTGAGCTGTAAAATATTATTACACTATTATAAAACCATTACTTGTGACTTAAATTCAACAACCACGACAACAAACAAGGCAAAATCTTCTATCACAGTATATTATTATGTTTACATATTGACCATGAAAATGATTTTAAAATGCATTTTTATCTCTAGCATTTAGGAAAATATACATCTTAAAGAAGCAGCATGTCAATGAACCATTCTAAATTAAGAGTGAAAACTTGGATGTAGCAACCTCCCAAAAAGAAGTCTATTTTTAATTACAAATGAGAGATTGGATTTGATAGTGTCCATGTTATTTGAGTGGATGTTATTTTTTAATGTACTTAGAATATCTTATACACATTGGAGTTTTAGACATCACATTATAATAAATAATGAATAAGAATTCCATTTTTTTCCTCAGCCCAAGAAACGTACATCATATATTTATTGACTTAAAGCTTTAGGAGTTGAGACCATTTGAATAGTGTCTCAGGAATAAAGAATAGGGACAGGGAGTTAAACTTAGTGGGGGTATATGTGTGTATGTGTGTGCATGTGCGTGTGTGTGTGTGTTGAAATCTCTCTATATATACATATATATACGTATATATACACATATATACATATATACACATATATACATATATATACATATATATGTGTATATATATATAACGTTTTAACCATTTTTAAGTGTGCTGTCTAGTGGAATTAAGCACATTACCTTTGTTGTGTTAATTTGGGTCTTGAGGGCTAAATATCAAGTCTTAAATATGCTATCATTCAACATTACTTTTGCTTTTCAGAGCACATGTGCTGTTGAGGAAGGCAGATCTGCCTAAACTAGTTATGATTTAGAGAAAAATATTTTAATAGTTAAAGAGCAATGGGATAGAGATATTGTTTGCTAAGCAGGAGGAATTGCTTTTAGTACTGGAATAGGATGAAACTAGGGATTCTAGGCCCAATACCATATATATTCATTAGTAGGAATGACAATATTTTGTCTACTTGTTAACATTTTTGTCTTATTTTCAAATTGCTTCTAAACTTGAGAAATGCAAGTGCTGCTATTTTTTGCTATAATCTTTCCTCCACTTTCAGAATAATAGGCCATTAATAAACCATTTAAAATAGACATGAAGATAATATTGTCATATCATCAAATTGAAAGCATGTGTGGTAACACTGACCTTTATTGCTTATATGAAAACTTGATCTCCCATGTTGAGCTGCTTCTAGCAAAATCGGCATAATTCAAATGAGCTCAAAGATAAAGATAAAATGATAGAAAGAAAAAAAGTTTAGTGAATTTGTATCCAAGATATTTAAGAATATGCCTGATTAATTAGGAAAATCAATGTGTTCATTAAGGATCAATGAAAATGTTACCGCTGACCCTTGAAAAGGTAAACACTCAATGAAGTGCCACATAATTTTATGTTTTAGAACACTGTGTCTACAATCACCACCTTTCTAAAAATGTAGCTTACACATCAGATAATATTTTATAGGTGTGATTCAACTGTCTTAAAAGAAGAGAAATATCATGCCATAAATTTGATTGGTTTTTGTTCTTTTTTATATTCATAGTAACTCATCAAATTAACAGTTTAAGTTTATTCTTCCAAATGTTGCACATTCACCCACTATCAAGAAAATCAGGTCAAACTTACATATATATATATAGATACACATACACACACACACACACACACACAGACACACACACAAAGTGACATGATGGGAATTTGTATTAATGTTTAATTTGCTCTGCAAGTCCTGGAATTCTTTCACACAACTGCTCATTGCAGGCTGAATAAAATGCTCATTGATTCCTCTGAGATTTGGGGACATAGATTTTTCAGTCTACTAAGAACATTTTTTATTTCCCACGGTGTAAGTAATCTTCAGTAAAATGACTGTATCTTTAGGTAAAACATATTAAAACTGTCAACCGTTTTAAACATTTACTGCAGAATGAATTTCTGCCATTACCACTGAATACTGCTTCCTGAACACATGTCCACATAGTATTTCCTTAGAGACGTCTTGTTGAAAGATGTCTGAATCTGATCTGTATTTAGGCTGACATTCCCGTTATTCCAACTGGGAAGGTGTCAGCAATTACAGTTCATTCACTGAATGACAGGCACTGTTGATATTCATAGATTTTCCCTCTTAGTGTCTTTCTTGGTTCATCATTTAAAGTCTCTTTTTATTTTTTTAACAGAATTTGGTCTCAAATCCAAGAAATTTCATTGTATAGTAAATTCCTGAGACCAACAAGAAACAGTATGATCTGAAAGGAAGGAGAGACTTACAAGGAAAGAACAGCAGTAATTATTACTAGTTAGCAGGTCTGACCCACATTGAAATCAGAAATAGCTGAAATTTATCTTTAGTCCATCTCTTCTCTTATATCAGCTTTCTGTCAATATACCTTTCCAGCCTCTTCAGCTCCTTATTTCCAGAGATGCAGAGACATTGGGCCACAGTTGCTGTTTACCTTTCCTGGGAGAGATTCACTTTTTATTCATCTGTTTCCTCACTTCTTAGAAAAATAATTATTGTTATATAATTTTACTGTATTCTGCCTTATTGGCTAATGTGAATTATCTCATGTAGGTTTATTAATTTGAAGAAATACATTTTACCATAGTGTGCTAATCTATCCTGCTTTCTTGTCTGGCATGAGGAAGGTTCATCCATACCTTATCAGAAATTGAGGCCAGTACATTCTTTCTTCATGCCATATCTTAATTCCTTTTTAGTGTTGCTTGCTGTTTTGAACGAAACATCTAAACTTAGCTGGCAGCTACCATCTCCAGCAGCCACCAGACACCTGGACAAAGGAGCACCAGCAAGAGATTCACCTTCGTGGATCCACAGGTGGTCTCCCTCTCAGAGGCTGGATTGTGGGCATGGCTTCAATGATATAATGTGAAAGTATTAAAGTTTTAATACTTATAGACCCTGGACGGTCCAAGGCAGGCCTTGAAGCCATATATTCAGAAGTCAGGAAGAAAAAGAAAGAAACTCATGGGTCAACAATGTAGTGTGGTCCATAGCATTTTTCAAACAGGTTTCCTGCAAAGAGTTTTAATTAGTGGATTTAAAGCAAGGAGGTACAAGTTCCAGGAGGTGATGCAGTGACTGCTGCACAGTTCATGCAGGGTGTGAGGTCAACAGGTCATCAAGTAAGCTGACTCTAGCTGTTCTGTAGTGACTGGCCATGAAGGAGATATTTTATAAGGCAGATATTTAGATGAACCACATTGAGGAGCTGGGGGTGGGTAATGTAGAACTGGAAATTGTGTCAAGGATAGTTGAGCCCTGCTTCTAGTATGAGAAAGTCCAACATATATTCAAAATGGCTGCTGAGGCAACATAAAATTATAAACATTCAATAAAGTGTCTTAATTCAGATCTATAACTATTCATTGTTTGTAGTGGTTTTGAAACATGTCTTCTTATTTATGGTATTTACATTTTCCAGGCTTTCAAGGACTTCCTGATTGACTTAAACATTCTATATGTTGCTTGCAACTTCTCAGTCCACCTTTGTAAAATTTGGTTGTGATTTTTAAGAAATATGGCTGGCTGTGTAGTCAACAGAATTACTTCCAGTGTAGTTACTAAACATACTAAAGTATTTTTCAAATCAACTTTATTGAGCCATGATTTACGTACAATAAAATGTATTTAAGTACATTTAAGTGTACAGCTCAGTGAGTTTTGACAAATATATATATATGCCCCTGAAACCATATTACAATCAAGATATAGAACATTTTCATCACCCTGAAAAGTTATGTCCTCTATAATCATCCACTAACACCCTTGGCTCTAGTCAATCCCTGATGCATGAAATGTTTTCAAAATTATTTTTAATGTATGGCTGAAAAAAAAATTCACAGTCCAGAAACAATCAGAAATTGAAAAATCAGAGGAATAAACAAACACTGGAGCTTGTGTTGTCCTGATAAGTTGGTGAATCTTGGAGCCCCACAGCCCCAGTTTAATTGGGATATTTGCAAAAATTGAGCACATACTAGGTCATAAAGCAAGCCTCAACAAATTCCAAAAAGGAAAGATTATACAGACTGTATCCCCTGTATAGTAAGGTAATTAAGATGGAGATAAGTGACTTTATTTCTTAATAGCTCAAGGATGAAAGAAGAAATTATAACAACAATAAGGAACATACAATTAAACTATTTAAGAAACCCATATTTAAATAAATAAGATATAGCTAAATAATTTTAGAGAGGGAAAACTGTATATTTAAATGCTCATTTTTAAAAGGAAGAAAGCCTGAAAATGTGATCTGGGTTTTGAACTAAAAAATTCAAAAAAGGAACAATGTATTACATTGCGTGTACTCTGGCCCCAGGAAAGCAGGGGTGACCTTGAGACAGTTAATACTTTCATTCCTGAAGGGATAGCATGGCGTCCACCCCATCCCCAGGACTATCCTAAATTCCTCCATTATTTTTCATCTATTTTGTCTAAGCTTGGGGAAATCTTTTACAATGGCTTTTAAATCTAATAGAGATCATGGCTTAATATTAACCACAAGAGACTTCCTTTGAAGGAGCCTCATTTTAAAGGGACGGCTGAGCTTTGAGAATGTCTATTTGACCACAGTGGAAGAAAGAGAGCCAAAGAAAGAGTAGAAGCAGGGAGCAATAAAGATTTGTAAGATATCAGAAAGGAAATATAGGATAAAGATAGGTTCAAGTTGTAGTTTAGGGTAATCCAATTTCAACATAATACTAAGTTTTCTATATATTTTTATTTGACTTGTTAAAGGAATTCTTAAGCAGGCAATTTTTGAATTTGAATGCTTTTCTTCAGTCTTCCTAATACCAGTGAAAAGCATATGTAGATGATACGGTTTGCTGTGTCCCACTCAATTCTCATCTTGAATTGTAACTCTCACAATTCCCACGTGTCATGGGAGGAACTCAGTGAGTGGGAGGTGATTGAATTTTGGGGGCGGGTCTTTCCTTTGCTGTTATTATAATAGTGAATAAGTCTCATGAGATCTGATGGTTTAAAAAAAAATGGGAATTTGACTGCACAAGCTCTCTCTTTGCCTGCCACCATCCACGTAAGATGTGACTTGCTCCTTCTTGATTTCTGCCATGATTGTGAGGCTTCCTCAGTTACCTGGAACTTTGAGTTCTCCATTAAACCTCTTTCCTTTGTAAATTGCCCAGTCTCGGGTATGTCTTTATCAGCAGTGTGAAAATGGATTAATACAGTTAACCACTGAATGTTTGGGAATTTGTCCGCTTTATTGTTCTATGAATAACTTTTGTATTAAAAAATATTGTGCAAGGTGTTTGAGTACCGTGGTGTGTGGCTTGGTATTTCTCCTACTGGGGTTGCCTCCACCTGACCTATTTTTTTCCAGCACCCAAGTTTGGATCTCTAGACCACGTAGAAGTTCTGTGAGAAACTTGATATTCGTTAAATCCCTTTGTGCTTAAACTCAGTAAAGTAGATTCTTATGTCTATAGGTAACATTCATAAATTGATATAGCACTATTCCAGTAACACAGAACTGGAAAAGTCAACCTAGAGTGCTGTGCAAGTTGTCTATTGGGTATGTCCCATATCTTGAACCGGTATATATCTTCCCTGAGAAATAATCACATACCATACAATTTACCCATTTAAAATATATAGTTCAATGGTTTTTATTATATTCACAGAGTTGTTCAGCCATCACCACAATATCATTTTGGAAAATTTTCGTTACTTTTAAAATAAGCCCCATACCAATTAGTAGTCCTTCTCTATTCCTCCCTATTCTTCCCAGGCAATAATTAATCTACTTTCTATCTATAGATTTTCCTACTGTGAACATTTCATGTAAATGGAGTCATACAATATATGGTGTTTTTGTCACTTGTTTCTTTCACTTAGCATGATGTTCTCAAGGTTTATTCATATTGTAGCTTGTATGACTTCTTTGCTCCATTTTTCTTTTTTCCCCACTTCCTCCTTTCAAATATACTGTATTTATATCCATCACTCAGTAACAACTCCAATGCAAGAACAGGTGTGTAACCCCTGGGTCCAGGGCCCACTGGTGTGGCTGGAAGCTGTTGCTCCAGTGGAGCCATTGATGATGCCTGCTTGCTCATTCCATACATACGTCCCTCCCTAGACACTGGGAAGCTGGCTGCCTTGCACTGCCATTGGGTAAGCTCGACTGGAATGCTCTGGCCAGATGTACTGAAAAGGGGGCCATTGTGTCTCTTTTATTCTTCTGGTAGAGGCTCTGATTTTGGCTAAATACAGATGTCATGAGAGCTAGAGAGGGCTTGGAAGGATGAGTGCGTGTTCTTGGAAGGTGGGTGAAGTGGGGTGTCTCTGGGACCAATACTGTGCCCCACCATATGCTCCAGGCCTGCTCTGGGATGGCTGAATCACACATGATGCTGGACTCTGTCATCACAGCTACCTTGTCACACAGAGGTAGGCAAATGAAGGATGGTAAAGCAGAAGTTCCACACATGTTCACATTCACCTGGTCGAGCTTGGATCATAATCTCTAAAGAAACAACCTTGAACACCATAATCCTAAGTGTTGACATAACAAAAGATCAAAATTCCTAAAGTTAAAATCTCTAAAGTCTAAAATCCCTAATGTCAAAAATCTGAATATCGCAATCACAGAATAGTGCATCATATCAGTCCAGCTCTTCTGTACTATCTCCATGCAATTGCTCCTAATCGACCCCTAATATAAAAGTGTATCCTGTAATATACTTTTTCATATATGAAATTTTCTTTTCAGTTTTTTTCAATTTTTTTCCCACTATTTCAATTTGTCAGAATTATTTTTTACAATTCACTATGCCATGTATTTTATCTTCATGTCATTTCCAGTACTGGAGATATAAATTGTGCAGAAATTTATTAATTCATTTTATGCAATTTTTTTTTGCAAATTTGACTCCATAAAAGTGTGTTGTCACAACACTGACTTTGTGTATAAGCATTGTACATGTATGTAGAAATATTGAAACTTCCTCAATAAATGAAGAGATATATTTTTATTTTTTGTACATCTGTATTTGTGAAAGATAAAATTTATTGACATCTCAGCTCTCTGGGTGACTGCATATGCGGTGGTGACCTGTCTCAGTTTTTGATCTATTTCCTCAAAAGGTTTTGATGGTTCATCATGATACTTCAGATGACCACAGTTAGAAAGCTGGTGCACACAATGACCAATAATGGTAGTAGGTTTTTATACATTTCCCTTTTTGACCTATTTATTTATGAATATGGCTTATCTGTTTATTGCTGTTTTACTCTTGAAACTGTCATTAGTATACCCGTTTATGTTTACAGAAATATGTATGTTATTATTGCCTAATTTATGGTGTAAAGTGGCCTATGAAGTGTTCTATTGTTGCTTGATGTTTCTCAAATAACCCCCCTTACAAAAAGGTAAATACATATATCATAATTTTTGAAATTATTTTTTCCAGAACTATGTTTTTTGGATTTAATCTTTTGGGATTTCAACATTCAAGATTATGGTGTCTGGGATTGTGTCTTTTCAAATTATGATCCACTCCCGGCCTGGATTATGAGGCAAATAATTTTTTTATTTGATTTTTCTTGTCCAAAGGCTTTTTTTCCATTTTGATAAAACTGCACAGAATATAAAGTTTACCATTTTTAAATGTGCAGCTCGGTGGTATTAAATACATTTATTATGCTGCACAGCTATCATCAACATCTATCTTGATAATTCTTTGACTTTGTAAAGCTGAAAATCCATACCCATTAAACAATAAATCTACATTTCCTTCTGCCCCAATACCTAGCAACCACCATTCTACTTTATGTTTCTACAATTTTGACTGCTCTAAGTACCTCCTATAAGTAGAATCATGTGGTATTTGACTTTTTTGACTGACTTATTTCACTTTGCATAATGTCTTCAAGCTTCATCTATGTTGTAGCACATGTCAGAATTTTCTGTCCTCTTTAAGGCTGCAAAATATTCCATTATATGAATATAACATATTTTATTTTTCTAAGAATCAGTCAACATTTGGGTTCATCCCACATTTTGGCTATCATGAATAATGCTGCCATGAACATTTATATACAATTGTTTGTGTGAGCATAAGTTTTCATTTGTTTTCATATATACTTAAGATCACACAGTAATATGTTTAACATTTTGGGGAACTACCAAACTGTTTCCAAAATAGATATGCCATTTTATTTTATATTACTACCAGCAATGTATAAAAGTTCCAATTTCTTCTCAACCTTGACAACGTGTATTATTCTCCTATTATCCATTTTATAATCATTCTGTTGGGTATGAAGTGGTATCTCACTGGAGTTTTGAATTGAACTTCACAAATGATTAATGATGTTGAACATCTTTTCATGTTCTTATTGGTTATTTTTATATTGATTTTGATAAATATGGCCTTTGCTCATTTTGAATTAGATGACTTTCCTTTTTGTTGTTGAGTTGCAAGAGTCACCATAAATTCTAGATACAAGTCCTTCATCACATATAGGATTTATGAATATTTCCTGTATTTTTACTTTCTTGATGATGCCCTTTGAATAAAAATGTTTTAATATTAATGAAGTCCAATTTATCTATATTTTCCTTTTGTTGTTTGTGCTTTTTAAAATTTTATTTATTTATTATTTCAATAGCTTTTGTAGAACAGGTGGTGTTTGGTTACATGGATAAGTTCTTTAGATGTGATTTCTGAGATTTTGGTGCACACATCACCTGAGCAGTGTATGCTGTACCCAATATGCAGTCTTTAATCCCTCACCCTCCTCCCACCCTTCCCCTCAATTCCCCAGAGTCCATTATATCATTTTTAATGCCTTTGCTTGCTCATATCTTAGCTCCCACTTATAAGTGAGAACATACTATGTTTGGTTTTCCATTCGCGCATTGCTTCACTTAGAATAATGGTCTCCACCTCCATCCGGGTTGCTGCAATGCCATTATTTCATTCCTTTTCATGACTGAGTTCCCAGCTGAATTCTATCAGACGTTCAAAGAAGAATTGGTACAAATCCTATGGAAACTATTCAAAAAAAACAGAGAAAGAAGGAATCCTCCCTAAATGATTCTATGAACCCAGTATTACCCTAATACCAAAGCCAGGAAAAGACATAACAATGCCACTGCCAACAAAGCTATAGACCAATATCCCTGATGAACACAGATGCAAAAATCCTCAACAAAATCCTAGCTAACTGAATCCAACAGCATATCACAAAGATAATACAACGTCATCAAGTGGGTTTTATACTAAGGATGCAGGATCGGTTTTACATATGCAAGTAAACAAATGTGATACACCACATAATAAGAAGTAAAAAGAAAAATCATATGATCATCTCAATAGATGCAGAAAAAGCATTTGACAAAATCCAGTATTCCTTTATGATTAAAACTCTCTGCAAAATTGGCATAGTAGGGACATACCTTAAGGTAATAAAAACCATCTATGACAAATGCACAGCTAACATTATACCGAACGGGGAAAAGTTAAAAGCGTTTCCCCTGAGAACTGGGACAAAACAAGAATGCCCACTTTCACCACTTTCATTCAACCCTAGCACTGAAAGTTCTAGCCAGACCAATCAGAGAAATAAATATATTGATCAAGAGAAAGAAATAAAGGGCATCCAAATTGGTGAAGAGGAAGTCAAATTGTCTCTGTTCACTGATGACATGATTGTATACCTAGAAGACTCTAAAGGCTCATCCAAAAAGCAACTAGCTCTGATAAATGAATTCAGTAAAGTCCAGGATACAAAATCGATGTAGACAAATAAATAGCACCTATACACCAACAGTGACCAAGCTGAAAATCAAATCAAAGACTCAATCCCTTTTACAACAGCTGCCAAAAATAAAATAAAAAATACTTAGGATTAAACCTAACCAAGGATGTGAAAGAGCCCTCCAAGAGAAACTACAAAACACTGCTGAAATGAATCATAGATGACATAAACAAATAGAAACACATCCCATGCTCATGGATGGGTAGAATCAATATTGTGAAAATGACCGTAATGCCAAAAGCAATGTGCAAATTTAACGCAATTCCCATCAAAATACCACCATAATTCTTCACAGAACTAGAGAAAATATTCTAAAATTCATATGAACAATAAAAGACCCTGCATAGCCAAAGCTAAGGCTAAGCAAAACAAAATCAGCAATAATAATAATAATAATCCCATCAAAAAGTGAGTTAAGGACGCAAATAGAGAATTCTCAAAAGAAGACATACAAGTGGCCAACAAACATATGAAAAAATATTCAACATTGCTAATAATCAGGGAAATACAAATCAAAACCACAATGCGACACCACCTTACTCCTGCAAGAATAGCCATAATTAAAAATAAAAAATAATAGATGTTGGGATGGATGTGGTAAAAAGGGAACACTTTTACACTGCTGATGGGAATATAATCTAGTACAACCACTCTGAAGAACAGTATGGAGATTCCTTAAAGAACTAAAAGTAGACCTACCATTTGATCCAGCAATCCCACTACTGGTTATCTACCCAGAGGAAAAGAAGTCATTCTATGATAAAGACACTTGCACATGCATGTTTATAGCAGCACAATTCGCAATTGCAAAAATATGGAACCAGCATAAATGCCCATCAACTGAGTGGATAGACAACTAAATGCAACTTGAGATCCTGGATGACATTCTGCATTGAGGGTGGGGAAAGGCCTAAGGAGAGCCAGACTTTAGGCAATTGGGACAACTAGTTGTTTGAATAATTAATTAGACATGGCTGAAAGAATAATCTGGGAGGTGGTGCTGAGCATAGAATTTAATAACTCACTTGTAGAACATTGTACTTCTCCAGTGTAACATTTCTCAAATGATAGTGACATGTCTGTATCTTTTACTAGAATGTAAGCTCCGTGAACACAGTGAGTTGTCACATCTATCTGGTTCACCACTCTGTCCAAGTGCTCAATGCATTGCCAATAAATGTGGTTTAAAACATAAAAAAAAAGAAAATGTTGCTTGTGCTTTTTATGTCATAGTTAAGAAACCACTGCCAAACCAAGGTTACAAAAGTTTATTTCTATGCTTTTTACTAAGAGTTTTATAGGCTTAGCTCTTCCATTTTGTGTTAATTTTTGTGAATAGTATGAGATAGGAGTCTGAATTTATTTTTTTTTAATGTCCGTATATAGTTGTTCCAGCTTCATTGGCTGAAAACTCACCACTGAATTGTTTTGCCACCCACATAAAAAGCCATTTGACCACAAATATATGACTTCATTTCTGAACTCTTAATACGGTTAATTAATCGATATATCTACCCTTCATCCAGTACCACTCTGTCTTTATTACAAGAGATTTTTAGTAAGTTTTTAATGAAGGAAGTGTTAGCTGTTTCACTTTGTCCTTTCAAAATGTTATGTTTGTCTTTGGGTTTTAACATTCTGATCATGATATATCTGTGTGTAGATTATTTGTATTTATCCTACTTGGAGTTCATTAAATTTTAGGATATACAGATCATTTTCCATCACATTTGGAAAGTTTTCTGCCATTAAGTTTTCCAATATGTGGCCGGGTGCAGTGGCTCATGCCTGTAATCCCAGCACTTTGAGAGGCCGAGTTGGGTGGATCATGAAGTCAAGAGTTTGAGACCAGCCTGACCAACATGGTGAAACCCTGTCTCTACTAAATATAGAAAAATTAGCTGGGCTTGGTGGCGTGCACCTGTAATCCCAGCTACTCAGGAGGGTAAGGAAGGAGAATTGCTTGAATCCCAGAGGCGGAGGTTGCAGTGAGCCGAGATTTCACCACGGCACTCCAGCCTGGGCGACAGAGCGAGACTCTGTCTCAAAAAAAAAAAAAAAAAAAAAAAAAATTCCAATATGTTTCCTATTCCAATATGTCTTTCTCTCCTCTTCTGGTGCTTCTAGAATGTTGTTGCATTAACTGATACTCTTATTTCTCTGAGATTATGTTTACTTTTCTTTATTTTTTTTCCTTGTCCTGAGATTGTCATTCTCTATCCACCTGTCTTCAAGGGTGTTGATTTCATTTTCTTCTACAAGGCTATATCTACTATGGATTCCCTTTAGTAAATTTTCCATATTGAGCATTTTAATTTTCACCTCCAGAACTTCTATTTGGTTTTTAAAAATGTTTTATCTCTTTATTGATATCTCTAATTTAATGAGACATTGCCATTATACTATCCCTTACTTAATCATGATTTTCTTTAATTTTTTAATATTAGCATTTCTATTTATATTAGATGCTTTGAAGTTTTGTTTTTATTTTGGTCTGTATCTCGGCCCTGTCAAAATCTGTTTCTATTGGCCACTTTTCTTTTTAGTTTTCTGTGTATGGGACCTATTTTCCCATTTCTTTGCATGGTGTTTTAGTTTGCTCTTCTATAACAGAATACCATGGATTGGGTGGGTAAAACAATAAATAATAATTTACCACAGTTCTGGAGGCTGGAATGACCAAAATCAAGGTGCCAGCAGATTCAGTAGTTGGTGAGCACATTCTCTTCGTATACTCACATGGCTGAGGGCAAAGAGAAAAAGGATGAGCTCTTACAGTGTTCTGATAAGAGGAAATGAACATGCTTCATCTTCATAACCTAACTACCTCTCAAAGGCCCCACCTCCTAATACCATCATATTGGAAGGGCACAAACATTCTGTCCATAACACATATTTCATAATTGTGTGCTGGAAACTGGATACTTTAGACAATATATTGTATCAACTCTGGATACTTATCCCTTCAAAAGCATGTTATTGTTTGGTTGTTTACTTGTTTGTTTACTGATTTGAATGGAGGATTTGGGTGAAGTTTATTTACCCCACAGTATGCAGCTTCTGATGTCATACCTTATATTGTGCAGCGTGGGTTTGTATTAAGTCCCTGACTACCAGTGAGAGGACTGGTAATTTAGCCAGGATGTCTCTTTGACCTTTGCTTTCTCAGTTGATTAACTGGCTCATCTGCCTCTTATTATCTTATATGGTTTGGCTGTGTTCCCAACGCAGTCTCATCTTGAATTGTAGCTCCCACATTTCCCACCTGTTGTGGGAGGGACCCAGTGGGAGGTAATTGAATCATGGGGGCAGGTCTTTCCTGTGCTGTTCTCATGATAGTGAATAAGTCTCATGAGATCTGATGGTTTTATAAAGGGGAGTTTCCCTGCACAAGTTGTCTTCTCTTGTCTGCTGACACGTAAGGTGTGCATTTCGCCTTCAGCCATGATTGTGAGGCCTCCCCGCCACGTGGAACTGTGAGTCCATTAAACTTTTTTTAATTTATAAATTACCCAGCCTCTGGTATGTTTTTATCAGCAGCGTGAAAACAGACTAACACATGATCGGACACTCAGCCTCCATTGTTGACCTCCACCAAATTCTAGCTGATTGTTGTATTGTTTTTGACCAACGGGGCATGTATTATAAAACAGTCTGATCCAATTAATGTTGGGCCGCTTTGCACGAGTAGATATATTAGGCTTAGTCTGACCTTATACTTTAGGAGGGCCCTTCTTAGCTGTTTCTTTCCCTGTTTCTCTCTTATAAACATAATCTTGTAGCTGGTCTCCTACTTTTGTCTCCTTTTAGTTGTTCACAATCAAAATCTCCAGTATTTTTGACAATACCCTTAGACATAAACTTCTACACTGCCTTCCAAATATAGTTGGTCTCCTTAGGAAAAGCTGAGGTGACTCTATTCTGGTGGCCTGCTTTTTAGCTAGGAAGAATCTAAATAAGAACCTAAACTAAGGACTCTGATTCAGAGGTGATGATCTTGAGCCCTTTTGGCAAGGTGGTTTCTGCTGGATCTTGGTGGAGTCTCTGGAATTTTCCAAGATCTCCACTCCACACCAAGATCACTGGGAAAATTTGTTAATCAACAAAAATTAAGCTTATTAAACTTACCGCAGCAAGAGAGAACATGAACTACTTAGCAGAGCCTTATTTGTGTTTCGAAAGGAGAAAGGGTTGTTAAAAGAAATAAGACTTTTATTTTGGTATTTTAGGTGATTTTACAAGATAAGAAACTTGAAATTAAACAGAATTATGATATAATAGCTTTGGATTGGTGGGTTCCTCAAATCGATGGTCTTAAAATGAGTCTTGATAGTGTTCTTAGTTTTGACATGTAGAATCATTTATTTGGGTTACAAACTCATTTTCTGTGAGGAAATAATTTCCTAGGGCCAACTGCTAGGTTATTTTTTGTTTGGTGTCAGAATTGTTTAACTAGGAATAGAAAAATGTGCATGGTTTCATTTTTTATGTAGGGACAGGTAATTATATTGTCTTCATTTCTCACCATCTATATACGTCCTATTTTTGAGAAGGAATGTGGAGGAAATAATATTAAGGAAAAAAAAACAGGACAAATAAGCTACTTATTGAACATTTATAACTCAATTACATTTGGTGTTTGAACTTTCTATGCATAATAAAAATATTTAAATTAACATTGGTAAAACAAGGCTAACTTTTAACCTTTTCTGCTGAAATTACTTATATAAAAATTTAAGGTCAAAACATTTTAAGTTTTATCTGTCCTCAGGTTTATTTGAAATGTGGTTCTTTATTTAAAATTCTTTCATATATTTGTCTAAGTTTCTTCTTTGGTCCTAATAATTTGGTTTAACTGTGATATTTTTATCTCTGTCTTCATTTTTTCAATATTATTCTTCTTAATGGGCTGCAAACAAAATGCACATAGAGCCAATTAGGGTCAGATACATTTAAACTAATTAATAAGACTTGCATTTTCTCCCATTTTGTAGGTTGCCTGTTCACTCTGATGGTAGTTTCTTTTGCTGTGCAGAAGCTCTTGAGTTTAATTAGATCCCATTTGTCAATTTTGGCTTTTGTTGCCATTGCTTTTGGTGTTTTAGACATGAAGTCCTTGCCCATGCCTATGTCCTGAATGGTAATGCCTAGGTTTTCTTCTAGGGTTTTTATGGTTTTAGGTCTAACGTTTAAGTCTTTAATCCATCTTGAATTGATTTTTGTATAAGGTGTAAGGAAGAGATCCAGTTTCAGCTTTCTACATATCACTAGCCAGTTTTCCCAGCACCATTTATTAAATAGGGAATCCTTTCCCCATTGCTTGTTTTTCTCAGGTTTGTCAAAAATCAGATAGTTGTAACCTACTCATCTGACAAAGGGCTAATATCCAGAATCTACAATGAACTCAAACAAATTTACAAGAAAAAAACAAACAACCCCATCAAAAAGTGGGTGAAGGACATGAACAGACACTTCTCAAAAGAAGACATTTATGCAGCCAAAAAACACATGAAAAAATGCTCACCATCACTGGCCAACAGAGAAATGCAAATTAAAACCACAATGAGGTACCATCTCACACCAGTTAGAATGGCAATCATTCAAAAGTCAGGAAACAACAGGTGCTGGAGAGGATGTGGAGAAATTGGAACACTTTTACACTGTTGATGGGACTGTAAACTAGTTCAACCATTGTGGAAGTCAGTGTGGCGATTCCTCAGGGATCTAGAACTAGAAATACCATTTGACCCAGCCATCCCATTACTGGGTATATACCCAAAGGACTATAAATCATGCTGCTATAAAGACACATTCACACGTATGTTTATTGCGGCATTATTCACAATAGCAAAGACTTGGAACCAACCCAAATGTCCAACAATGATAGACTGGATTAAGAAAATGTGGCACATATACAGCATGGAATACTATGCAGCCATAAAAAACGATGAGTTCATGTCCTTTGTAAGGACATGGATGAAATTGGAAATCATCATTCTCAGTAAACTATTGCAGGAACAAAAAACCAAACACCACATCTTCTCACTCATAGGTGGGAATTGAACAATGAGAACACATGGACACAGGAAGGGGAACATCACACTCTGGGGATTATTGTGGGGTAGGGGGAGGGGGGAGGGATAGCATTGAGAGATATACCTAATGCTAGATGACGAGTTAGTGGGTGCAGCGCACCAGCATGTCACATGTATACATATGTAACTAAGCTGCATTGTGCACATGTACCCTAAAACTTTAAGTATAATAATAATAAAAAAAAGACTTGCATTATAATGACTAAGTAAATATTGTTCAATTCAGAGCCAAAGGATGTGCTACTACATATATAGACACATATATACATAGATAGATAGATAGATGGATAGATAGATAGATAGATAGATAGATAGATAGATAGATATAGATGTATTTTGTCACAGTTGCCATCATCCCATCACCAGGAGGTACTTATTGCTTATATTTTTCTTATCTGCCTTTTTATGACATGCCTAAACTGTGTCAATGTCTCAAGCTTATCTATTGATCTACGGAATCCAAGAGATGCAAAAGCATTTATATCCACCTGGCCCTCTTACCCTGTTACCCTCTTCATCTGTTCTCATCATTGAGTCTAATGATTTCTTTAGGCCTTCTGCATAGATGTTATTCTCTACTTGTACTTTCCTTACTTTTCTGAGTCCAAATTTTGTTTGCTTCAATCTTCTTGGAATAATCTCATATTTTGCAAAGCAATCCTCAGGTTACTTCTTAGCATATGGTATTCAAGGGGTAAAATTTCTGGATGTTTTTATATCCAAAGTTGCCTTTATTCTGCACTTCACTTGACAATTTTGTTGGGCAAAATTTGTAGTTGAAATCTTTTATTTGTAGTTGAAAATTTGTAGTTGAAAACCTCAGCATATTTTCTTCCAGCAATCAGTTTGATTTTAACCTGATTCACATTACTTTTTTTTTTTACAGAAATTTCAGAATCCTTGACTTTATCCACAGTGTTCTGAAATTTCATGACAAGTGTGTTCACTTATATTATCTTCTTCAGCATGAACGGCAGTTTAAAGAAGCTTGTCACTCTTAAATCCAGCATATTGGTGTAAATGATTGTATAATCAAGCTTTCTGCCTTTGAAACTGTTGGACATTTGGAATCAATTAGGTACTTTATATTTTCGACTTACCTTTTATTCTACATTTTTGGGTATTTTCTTCATTTGAGTTTCTAAACTTTCTATTGCATTTTAATTTTTTCAGTTATATTTTTAATTTCCAAGAGATATTTCTCCCTCTCTGAACATTGCTATTTCATGGTATCTCTTATTCTTATATTATCATTTATCTGAGGCTACTAAATTAAATTTAGTTCTAAATATTTGGATTACGTCTACTCTAACATCAAATTGTGTATTTTATTATCTAGAATTTTTCTCTTTCCTCCTGCAATTTCTGAAACAATTTGGATAACCCTTGGTTTCCCTCTCATATTTAAGAATAAAACAAAATAAATTCTTAGGAGCTCTGAGGGTATGGGTCAAGCACACCTAGTTTTAAGTTCTACTTTAAGAAATAGTCAAGGATCTGTTAGAATTATGTTCTCTAACCTTTAATTTAAAACACCAGACCTCTTATTAGATTGGACCAAAGATTTCTTCTCTTCACACTGTACACCACACCAGGTAAATTGTCCCTGATTTTTAAACATTGTATTTAGTTGTGATTATCTAATTTCTGTGTGGTGATCATTTTGTAGAAAGGGCAGGGAAAATATGTAGAGAAGTTCGACTTTTTCAATGTAACCTTTTAATTAATACCTGCCCTTCTCCTTCCTGCCCTCCATTGAATGTACATTAATTGTATTCCTGTGTCTTGGGGTATAAGCTAAGCTAAATAACTGAACCCATTGCTTTAGCTCCATTTTGTGGGGCATATCCATCACAATTAACACTATTTCCTTAGTTTTTCATCTTTGAGAAATGTGTTGACTCTCTTGCCTGGTGATAGCATGGCAAGAATTTTCTTCCCATTTTCCTTGTGCTTCTGGCTTATCCTTTTTCCCCTCAAGTTTCTTTAATGTCATTCTGTTGGGTTTTTAGTAGAACAGGAAATAAACTCAGAAGTTGAGCTAGACATTCTAATCTTATTATGCTTTAACAATAGTGTAGGCACCCCACTATTTAATCACATTCAAAAACTCTTTTCACCTACTATGTAAGCAATAGTTAGAGAGTATATTGCTATTGTTGAGAGCAATTAGATGGATGACCGTGCGCTGTCCGTGGCAGTGTACATTGATATTATTATTATGAAAACAAATTTGGCTATATGGATCAAGACACTTAAAGATTTAATGTCTGGTAATTGTAACAATCTGTCCTAAGCAACTATCTAGAGACTTGTATGAAGAACTCTGAACAGAGCTGTTCATAGCAGTTTAAAATAATAAGAAGTTTTAAGTAACCAAACTGTCAAAAAGTTAGGAAGTTATTATACAAAAATATAGTAACAACTGTGGAAAGAAATTTTAGGCAACGAACAAAAATCAAGACATGTTTAAATGATGACAATATAATATTAGAGGAGAAAGCAGGATAAAACTGTGTATTAAATAAAATTGAATTGTAAGTCATTACCCTTTTTTTTAGTCAAAACAGTCAAATATTGCCATTTTAAATAAAAATATAAATGTATTTTAAATAAGTATAATTATATGACTTTAAAATTTCATAAGTCAAAATGGATTATATAAATATAAATTAAATTGGATAGAATGATTACAGGGAGAAAATACTAACAGGTGTTATCTTGAGGTGATATAATTTCGGTTGATGTTTATTTTTCAAATTATCTATAGAGAATGCACTGTATTTGTAATCAGAGTAAAAACTACTAGTTTCTATCCATGTTTTGGAGTTCACACTGTGAACAACTTGTAAACTTCAAAATATCTTGGCTATTAAATACTTATCCAGAATGAGTGACACAGATGTAGGAAAACATATTCTAGTGTTATTCATTGCAGTGTTTCTTTAATATGCATGAACTGTATCATTCTACTCTCAGGGTATTTATACCATTAGAACAGCGTATATAGAACAAGTGCACTGCTTTAAGATAGGATTTGATATTATGGATTCACGAAGAGCTGTGTTCCTGCTCTACCCCATCCCATTGAGGAACTTTGTTGGCTTCACGTCTATTTGGCGTACTTTTTGCTGCTGTAGGCATTTTTCATCTTCTGCATAGAAAGCACCTTTTCTCTGTTAAAGTTCAGTGCCATTCAGAAAGATAGTGGCTTAGAAGGGAGGTTGCAAAAGCAAGATAAGAGACTTTTAAAATTAATACATTAACAGACAAGTCTGAACTGAGTCATTTTCTGATATGCTTGCTGAGGAAAAAGTTCAATTGATGGAATTTTAAAAATTCATTCATTGTGCAAAAAGCTGCACTCATCATTTTCAGTTGAAATTGGCCTAAATGTTTATAGTTCTGTTTTTTATTTGATTGGGAGATGTATATAAACCCATTATATGTTCTTCATTGAAGTGTATTTTTAAACATGGTTAAGATATTTTAGCACTCTGAGAAAACTTATTTTGTAATAAATTCCTATTAAATTTTCAGGCCTTCCTGAGTGTAACAGTTTAATGACACTACACATTGTTGTAGATTGTATAGCACACATCTTGTCAGTCAGTTGTAAAAAATAATTTTATGCACTAATATGATAGATTATGTAATTTTAATATAAAATTAATAATTGTTTAATGACTGCACCGTTTTTTCTGGCCTTTAAAATTAACTTTTACTTTGTATAACTAAATACATTTGTGTATATTCATATATCTGCTAATTTTAAACTTAAATTATGTCAAGTTTTCCTGTATATAGCCTGAAGACTGTGGTAGATCTTTCGAGTTAGCATAAAGTTTTTCAAAAATCTCTTTAAAAAATGCCTTATAATGTCACACTTCTCTGAATTCAGGATGATAAGATTCAAATTGATACAAAGAAAGTAAGCCCTGTTTGGATATAAAATAATTGCCTAATGTGAAATACACATGATTCAAACCAAAAAAGACTGAAGGCAAGAATTCTTTTTTTTTTTTTTAAAAAAATAGCTTACTTTGCTTTGAAAATCTCAATTTCTAGTCATATAGGTTTAGAATACTTGAGCAATAACTTTAAACATAGTATGAAAAATGAAAATATGTACAGAGGGTTTCATATGCTCTGGGCAACTCACCACTCTCCTTAACTAGTCACTGCAAGTATTACCCCTAAGATATGTTGGGCAAGATGTCATTATTTGTCAAGTGTGTCTCCAGGAACTGCTTCTCTAGGTAAAATGTTTTATTTACAGTATTAAATCTTTATCTTTCATAATTCTCTCCAGTATCTAGATAATATTAAAAATGATTGTATGTCAAATAGTATGTATGAAAAGGAGAATAAAAAGTTAACTCATTAGATTAAGGTGGCATGATTATGGATATCTTTAAACTTAAATATTATAGTAATATATTTTAAGACATAAAAATAAACAGTCTAGCTGATTATATTATTAAACACAACTTGATCAATGAGTTGTTTAAAATGCCTAATTATGGGAATTTCTATCCTGGAAAAGAAATTATAGTAACCAGATATATTAATCATGTTCATACTTAGATTGAAGTAAAAAACAGCTTTCTCATAGAAAAAATTGAATGTCTGTGTAATATCACTAAACAAAGCATCCTTTCCATGCCAGCTGTGGGAGGTGTTACTTTTTACTTCTTTTTGGAGCCAGTATATGTAGTCTGCACAAAGGCCCATCACCTAGAGGAAAATTTTTTTTTTCTCAATAAGCTACCAATTTTCTTGCTAATGCTTATTATTTTTACTTTTTTGTCAGAGTTATTGATAACTACATTTTGCTGGTAATAAGTTAATGGTCTAAATAACTATGCTAACTACAATTATATTTGAGGTGATTATATTAACTATTATTTCTTATTTTTTTACTTTATGACCCAATTGGTGATACTATAAAACTGGAAGATACTCAAGAAATTTTAAGTGCAATTACTATATCCTATAAGTGGAGAAACTTTCTATTCAGAAATGTATAAAATAATGTCAAGTTATCAGGCAAAATAGCATCAGAATTGAGAGATATATGATGAATTATGAATTATTGTTTGATGTTTTTTTTCATTGCACTCTAACATAATTTTTCTTTGACTTGTAGTGGAACAGAGTAATTTTTTTCTAATCCTTTGGTTTAGCTGTTGAGAAAATTAAACTACATTTTTATTTATTTATTTATTTTTTGGTGACAGGGGTCTTGCTCTGTCGCACAGGCTGGAGTGCAGTGGAGTGATCAGATTTCACTGCATCCTCCACCTCCTTGGCCAAGGGATCATCCTGTCTCAGCCTCCAGAGGAGCTGGGACTAGAGGTGCATGCAATCATGCAAGGCTAATTTTTAAAAATTTTGGGGGAGAGAGAGAGTCTCACTATGTTGCCCAGGTCGGTCTTGAACTCCTGGGCTCAAGTCATACTCCCACCTCAGTCTCCCAAGGTGCTGGGATTATACCAAGAGTCACTGCACCAGCTAAAGTACAGTTTGAATCAACTTTGTAATGATATAAAACTGTAGAATCTGTGCATCTGCATTTGAACTTTCTTTTTTATTTATTCCAAGTCTACCTATATTTACATTTGAAATGATCTTATATTTATTTTTTATGTTTCTGTACTACCTTATTTAAAATTCTTGGGACCAGATGAGTTTCAGAATTTAAATTACTTTTATGTTTATTTTAGGAAGGAATTTGGAACATATTTTAAATATTCACAACAACTCATAGTCAACTACATTCATATTTCTGCTGCAAAATGTATAAATACTCTAAGTGGAATAAATAAATACCAACATTAAATTTACATGAGTTCTAGTCAGGTTTTGTAGTCAGATCAATGACAGACTGTTTATCTTCAGAAATTTTTGATTTTAAAATTTTTATAGGGATTGTGTAGATGTGGTTGTTTTTCTGAAAAGTTTATATTTAAAGTGAGTAACTAATTTAAAAAAAGGAGAAGTAAATGTACTAGAAGATCAGAATTTTCAAAATAATATAATGGCCAATCCTTGTGCTAAAAAAATTGCCGGGGTAAAGCAAATATTTCTTTTTAATTTCCCTTTCCTAATAGACCATTATTAGTTCCAAGTAGTTAGAAGAAAAGGCTTCAAATTCAAATGCTTGCTTTCTGGGGTAAGTCAGGTAACATAAAGATGTGAAGTGGTCAGATGATTTGTTGAATTAGAGAAAGGTAGAGAATTGAAACTGAAAAGAGGATGCTTGTCTAAAGACATTCAGTCTCTCCCTCTCTTTCCTCTCTTCCTTCTCTCTGTCTCCATCTCATAGTACACACACACACACACACACACACACACACACACACACAGAGTGAGAGAGAGAGTGCCGGATGTGATGTCTAAGTCAGAAATACATATACATTGTAAGGAAAGATGGAACAGAATTTATTATGAAAAGCTTTATTTCACCTTAAGTGATTTTTCACGTTTAGCTTCTTTGTTGTTGTCATTTACTTTTACTTCCCTAAACAATTTACCTAACCTATCACTGAATTATTCATTTTCTTCGTCAATCAGTCTTTCAACAAATAGTATTACATTTCCACTCTATTGAACAAATGTAAAACTCTGGAAAAATACAAATGAATGAGGCAGTTCATACCTTAAAGATGAGCTAGCCAAGATACAATTAATAATCAGAGGTGAGAGCAAGGTGCTGCAGGAATGCAAAAGATGTGTACTCAACTTAGTCTAAGGATGTCAGAGAAGCACTTGCAGAAGTGATGAAACTATGGTTGGAAGGAGAAAAAAAGTTAATCAAGCAATGAATAGGGTGAGTGTTTTCCAAGCAGAGAGAACACGAGGAAAAAATGCACTGAGTGTGAAGGAAGAGGTGTATTTGAGTAACTGAAGGGAATTCCTTATAAAAACAGCCTGGGGGTAAAAAAAAATTATCTCTAGTTTCAAACAATCAGGGCAAAATACAGCTACCTCAATTGTTCAGAATGTTTGAATCTTTGTCACTTCCACATTTTATCCATCCCCCAGCAGTGACAAAATTCAATACAATTTGAATGTAAATGATACTATTTATATGTCTGCTCTAGTTGTTTTCATTTGTTAAAACATTCTTTGAAATCCCTACACTCTGAGACCACAAATAAACAAACAAAACCTCCTCTGATTATATTTGATAAATGCATGCCAAGGAGAAACAAAAGAAATGCAATAATATATAAAAAGGGAAAACTATAGCAAGAAAAAAAGTGGCTAGTTCTTTCTTAAACATAATTTCAGAGTAACTTTACTTCGTATTTAAAAGAGAAAATGCAATTTTTATTACAATTGGGATCCAGTGTTATTTTATCATATCAATGTTTTAATTTTAATATAAACCTCATTGCACTTTAAAACACCAAAATAAAAGTCTAAGATATGCTTTAAAATGTTCATTTTATTGCTATTTGAAGCTGCTGCACAGTAGCAAAATGAAAGAAATTGAATTAAACGAAATTATATATTGCCCTCATTTATTAAAAAATCCCTACAAATGGGGGAAAAATATCTGTTTCAATTGCACCCAAAGTTATGATATGAAAACTATAACAGAGCAACAATATCTTGGAAAATTCATCAGGAGAAACTTCACACTGACCTGGGTAAGACTGCTAATTTAATTTTATCGTTTCAAGTGAAAGTGACTTGAAACCAAGGGAGACTAATTTGAACAGTAAGCTTGATAGCAAATGCTTCAGTACATTATGCAGATAATAACAGCTCCCATGTGGATAATAGAAGTTAGCAAGAGTACTGAAAATTACACTTTTTTTCTTGCCATAGTGAAAATGAACAGATATTGAATCTTATCTCCTTATCCACATACTAAAATAGAAATTGCTTTCCAGGTTTTACTAATTTTACTGACAGGATATTATGTGAAGGATTTTTTCTCTTATGCATTTATTTTGATTTAATTTAAAAGTACACCCAGAAGCAATATTTGAAAGTTATAAAAAAATCAGAAAAGGAAAATTCTAGTCATGTACACATCTATGATTTCATATGGCTTTATCAGCAGCATTCATTATGATATCCAAAAATAAAATCTGAAGATTTCTCTTCCAAATGAGTCTATATTAAGCAAAAGATATTCTGCTGCCTCTTTGAGAAACCGGATGTATCTGAAATTAATGTGAACGGCTAAACCACACACACAAACCTTACACTGTCAAATACCGTAAATGCCATTATGAATAAGTTTGAGATGTTTAATATTCGCATATGAGTTTAAATTAGTTGAGTAAATTATACTTCAAATAAAAGTAAGACTTTCATGTCTCCAATATAGAGTTTTAAAAGAAATCAGCCACTGGGAGAGGTTATATAGCTACACACTGTGGGAGCCTGAAAGACAGTTCTATAGCACAGACCTTCTAAGAGCACTTCAGTAAAATGAACACGAGACTCACTCAAGTCTTGTGACTCTGAGTCAGTTTGTTCAAATCAGTCTCTTAATGATGTCTGATGTACTCTTAGGAGAGTTATCATTATGTTTATTTTTTATATCTCTAAGTTTATAAGATTTTGTGCTCTTTTTCTCCTTTTAGTGAATATTTAGTGAATATACTTACTATGGCATAATAGTCAACTGAACCCTTCCCACTGAATGTGATGATAAAGTCTAAAGCTTTTTGAAAGGAGAGAGGGTGATACACATTAGTTCTTTTAATATAAATGTTAAAACTGAAAATTTGTGCTCATTCCCAAGTTGGAACAAGACAGTTTTCTTTTTGAGACAAAGTCTTGCTCTGTCACTCAGGCTGGAGTGCAGTGGTGCCATCTCGGCTCACTGCAGTCTCCACCTCCCAGGGGTAAGTGATTCTCCAGCCTCAGCCTCCCGAGTAGCTGGGATTACTGGCACTCGCCACAACACCGGGTAATTTTTGTATTTTTAGTAGAGATGGGTTTTTGCCATGTTGGCCAGGCTGGTCTTGAACTCCTGACCTCAGGTGATCCGCCTACCTCAGCCTCCCAAAGTGTTGGGATTATAGGCGTGAGCCACTGCGCCCAGCCTCTGAGCTCTGTTTTCTATCTTTCTAATTACCTCCTTCATATCCTTTTGGTAAATGACGAATCATATATACAGTCAGCAGCAGAGATCCTGATACTTCAGTGAATGGTAGCACTGAAAGCCTCATTTTGTAATTTTGCTTTTTAATTTGTCATCTTTCTTCTTAGGAGAACAGTCAAGTTTGCAATTTATTCTGTTCTTCCTTGATAGAAAGGAATTTATCTCATATTTGTCAGACTGCATGTTTGTTTTACATAGGATTTTACAATTTTTAGTTTTCCTTTCTTTTAAACACATATTTAGTAGAGTTTGTATTTTGTGCCAGGTTCAGTGCTGGGCACAGACAAGGTCTCTGTCCATATGGTGCTAATACTCTTGAGGGAAGGATAGGTACAGAATAAGGAACCACAGATGAAGTTGTAATTTTATATTGTGTTGTAGTGAGATGAACACTGGTGGGGTTAGCCTTATTAGGAGGAGAAATAACTTTTAAATTGTAACAGGAGGGAAGAAGGATAGCATAATGAATGTAGAGGCAAGTGAGTTTGTAGGTGGTGGTAGCAGAAGCCACTTCTAGATTTTTAAAACTACTGTTCATTTATTTTTGTTTTTGATTGTTTTTTAAGACATTATTGTTCGGGCATAAAAAATGACTTTGTTTTCACTTGTATATTTTCCTTGACATCTTTAGAGTTCACGTCTAATTTTAACATAAGTATTATTATTTATGTATGATTCCCTTATATTATGAAATCGGTATTTGCAAGTGCTAATTGAAATGAATATGTTATTTTGTCAGTATCTGACTTATTTAATTATATTAATTACATTTCAAGTCTATTTATTAGGAGAACTGATTTATAGAAACTTCCTTTATGTAAAACGTTGACTCTGGCCAGGCGCCGTGGCTCACACTTCTAATCCCAGCTTTGCGAGTCTGAGGCAGGCAAATCACCCGAGATCAGGAGTTTGAGACCAGCCTGGTCAACAAGTGAAACCCCTTCTCTACTAAAAAATACAAATATTAGCTGGGCGTGGTGCTACGTGCCTGTCATCCCAGCTACTTAGGAGGCTGAGGCAGGAGAATCGCTTGATCCCAGCAGGCAGAAGTTGCAGTGAGCCGAGATTGCACCACTGCACTCCAGCCTGGATGACAGAGTGAGACTCTGTCTCAAAGAAAACAAAACAAAAAAAACCTTTGATTCTTTTACTGTGTCCAATGTATGGTAATCGCATTAAATATTCCTACTGCAGTTCTTTTCTTCTTAGAGGGCAGTAGATCTAGGCACTTTCTGCTTCGAGAGAAAGCTACATATATCTTAGGAACAAGGAGTTACACATTGGATATTGACGTGTGAATTGGACCTAGGAAAGTTCACAGGGAAAGCAATTTTTTTTTTTTTTTTTTTTTGAGACAGGGTTTCGCCTTGTTGCCCAGTTGGAGTGCACAGCCACCATCTCAGCTCATTGCAACCTCTGCCTCCCGAGTTCAAGCAATTCTCCTGCCTCAGCCTCTCAAATAGCTGGGATTACAGGCATGCGCCACCATGCCTGGCTAATTTTGTATTTTTAGTAGAGATGGGGTTTCTCCATGTTGGTCAGGCTGATCTCGAACTCCCAACCTCAGGTGATCCGCCCGCCTTAGCCTCCCAAAGCGCTGGGATTACAGGCATGAGCTAGGGTGCCTGGCCTGCAAATTTTTTTTTTTTTTAAGACAGAGTCTCG
This sequence comes from Homo sapiens, assembly GCF_000001405.40. Classification (NCBI taxonomy): domain Eukaryota; kingdom Metazoa; phylum Chordata; class Mammalia; order Primates; family Hominidae; genus Homo; species Homo sapiens. The sequence goes on from NC_000005.10 coordinate 99,498,199, forward strand.
CTCTGTCACCCAGGGTGGAATGCAGTGGCACGATCTTGGCTCACTGCAACCTCCGCCTCCCAAGTTCAAGCGATTTTTGTGCCTCAGCAGTACAGGTGCATGCCTCCACGCTCAGTTAATTTTTGTATTTTTAGTAAAGATGGGGTTTCTCCATGTTGGCCAGGCTGGTCTCAAACTCCTGACCTCAAGTGATCTCCCTGCCTTGGCCTCCCAAAGTGCTGGGATTACAGGCATGAGCCACCGTGCCCAGCCGAAAGCAAATATTTTATGGAGCCAATATAAGTACTATTATTATGTGATTAGTCACTTAAAAATTCAACTTTAAAAATAATTGTTTAAGGTGAATATACGGAGCCATTTGACCATAAGGGACAGATAATTCTGCTTTGTTCTACTTTGTTAAATAGATTTCTTAAAGCTCCCTTGGTGTTACTCATTTTGGTAATTTCAGATTCATATGGTTTTCATTCAGTTATGATTAAACTATCTTAAAAGTTTTCCTTAGATTGTATATTGAAAATGCTGAATTATTGTAATTATTTGTAAGATTTTTACTTGTACACTAAAGCACCTTAGTTTATCTTACGGAATTGCAGTGATAGCTATTCTGAGTACATAGTTGATGATTTGGGACAAAATTGTCAAATAGATTTAAAGTATTTTTCTTTATTGCAAAAGAATTAATATAGTAACAAAGTCTAAGAATATAGAAGGCACCATCCATTCCCGCTTTTCAGAAGTAACAATAGTTGGTGGTTTGTGCTTCCAAGGCCTATAACATAGGGGGTGGGATTAAAGAACAGAAATGGGGGTTATAATTGACCATATGTCATTTTGCTCCAGTCATTTTATTTTATTTTTTTAAAACCAGGTGTCTGCTTTGGGTCTGGATCCCTCAGGTGCCCGTTTGGTGACAGGAGGATATGACTCTGATGTTAAGTTTTGGGATTTTGCTGGAATGGATGCTTCTTTTAAGGCATTTCAATCCCTTCAGCCCTGTGAGTGGTATGCATTCACTTACTTAATATCTTCATATTTGACTTAGTATCTTCACATTGGAAGACAGTGCTATTGGCTTTGGAATCCCATCTACAAGGATTTGTATCAAAATACATTATGTTTATATGACTGTATACTGCCTTCATAATTTAAATGAAGTAAAATGAGCCTTACATTTCTTTTGTTTCATAAACTTATATTTTAGGCTGGGCGCGGTGGCTCACACTTGTAATTCCAGAACTTTAGAAAGCCGAGGCAGGCGGATCACCTGAGGCCTGGAGTTTGAGACCAGAATGGACAACATGGCAAAAGCCCGTCTCTACTAAAATTACAAAAATTAGCTGGGCGTGGTGGCGCATGACTGTAATCCAGCTACTCGGGAGGCTGAGGCAGGAGAATTGCTTTAGCCTGAGAGGTGGAGGTTGCAGTGAGCTGAGATTGTGCCACTGCACTCCAGCCCAGCAACAGAGAGAGACTCCGTCTCAAAAAACATTGCAAAAGGCTGGGCACAGTGGCTCATGCCTGTAATCCTAGCACTTTGGGAGGCCAAGGTGGGCGGATCACCTGAGGTCAGGAGTTCAAGACCAGCCTGTCTAACATGGTGAAACTCCATCTCTACTAAAAATATAAAAACAAGCCAGGCATGGTGGCTCATGCCTGTAATCCCAGCTACTTCGGAGGCTGAGGCAGGAGAATCGCTTGAACCTGGGAGGCGGAGGCTGCAGTGAGCCAAGATTGCGCCACTGCACTCCATCCTGGGCGACAGAGCAAGACTCCATCTCAAAACAAAAAAATTTAAAAAACAAAAAAATAGTTTGTTTTAAAACATTCCAATTAATCCCGAGAAATGAGAAATTAACATATGGTAAGCCATTAACCAGGTACCAGTCCATTTTGTACTGTTTAGGTATGGTCGGCTAGCATTATGTTAGAAAGGGCCTTCCATGTTGCTACAATGAGCCAGCCTTTCTCTTTTTTTTTTTTTTTTTTTTTTTTTTGTGACAGGCTCTGGCTCTGTTGCCCAGGCTGGAGTGCAGTGGCGAGATCTTGGCTCACTGCAACCTCTGCTTCCTGGGCTCAAGACATCCTCCCACCTCAGCCTCTCAAATAGCTGGGACTATATGGATGTGCACCACCATGCCTGGATAATTTTTGTATTTTTTTGGTAGAGATGGGGTTTCACCATGTAGTCCAGGGTGGTCTCAAACTCCTGATCTCAAGTAATCCACCTGCCTCGTCTTCCCAAAGTGCTGGGATTACAGGCATGAGCCACCGCGCCTGGCCCATAAGCCACTCTCTTTTCTGTTTTTGACCATATCTGATCTTTTGGCATATTGCTTTCTTTTGGTATCATTTAACTCAGTGGTCCCCAATCTTTTTTGCACCAGTGCCTGGTTTTGTGGAAGACAATTTTTCCATGGACTAGGGGTAGCGTGGAGGTCGGGGTGGTGGGATGGTTTCCGGATGAAACTGTTCTATCTCAGATCATCAGGCATTAGATTCTAATATGGATTGTGCAACCTAGAGATCCCTCGCATGTGCATTTCACAATAGGGTTCGTACTCCTACGAGAATTGAATGCCATTGTTGATCTGACAGGAGCCGGAGCTCAGGTGATAATGCTTGCCCACCCTCCCAACACCTGCTGTGCACCTGCTTCCTAACAGGCCATAGAATGATACCAGTCCATGGCCTGGGCTTTGGGGACTCCTGACTTAACTTGTTTCTTTACCTCCTCTCCAATATTTCCTGTGGAATATCAAAGGCTTTCTCAGAATTATATTGTATCACTTGATGGCATGTATTGTCTAGTTGTTTCACTGTTAGTGACTAGAAATTAAGGTAAATCCCTGGATTAAGGTAGTGACGTCTGATTCCTTCATTGTAAAGTTAATATTTTATACTTGAGATAGGTAAGAACTTCGTAGAGAGATAGTTTGGTACTATGTAACTATCCAGATACTCATCATTCTTTCACTTAATGAGCTTAGTGTCCATTGATGATTTCTTCCTGAATCGGTTATGTCACCGAGGGCTACAAATTGGTGATTTTCCTATTCTGTTATTTCATCTGCCTTTATTACCTGGCATCTTCTTAAAGAAAAACTTTTCCATCGATGTTCATTAGGGATATTGGTCTAAAATTCTCTTTTTTTGTTGTGTCTCTGCCAAAATCCTCAATAAAATACTGGCAAACCAAATGCAGCAGCACATCAAAAAGTTTATCCACCATGATCAAGTGGGGTTCATCCCTGGGATGCAAGGCTGGCTCAACATACGCAAATCAGTAAATGTAATCCAGCATATAAACAGAACCAAAGACAAAAACCACTTGATTATCTCAGTAGATGCAGAAAAGGCCTTTGACAAAATTCAACAGCCCTTCATGCTAAAAACTCTCAATAAATTAGGTATTGATGGGACATATCTCAAAATAATAAGAGCTATCTAGGACAAACCACAGCCAATATCATACTGAATGGGCAAAAACTGGAAGCATTCCCTTTGAAAACTGGCACAAGACAGGGATGCCCTCTCTCACCACTCCTATTCAACATAGTGTTGGAAGTTCTGGCCAGGCAATCAGGCAGGAGAAAGAAATAGAGGATATTCAATTAGAAAAAGAGGAATTCAAATTGTCCCTGTTTGCAGATGACATGATTGTATATTTAGAAGACCCCATTGTCTCAGCCCCAAAACTCTTTAAGCTGATAAGCAACTTCAGCAAAGTCTCAGGATACAAAATCATTGTGCAAAAATCACAAGCATTCTTATACACCAATAACAGACAAACAGAGAGCCAAATCATGAGTGAACTCCCATTCACAGTTGCTACAAAGAGAATAAAATACCTAGGAATGCAACTTACAAGGTATGTGAAGGACCTCTTCAAGGAGGACTACAAACCACTGCTCAACGAAATGAAAAAGGACACAAAGAAATGGAAGAACATTCCATGCTCATGGATAGGAAGAATCAATATCATGAAAATGGCCATACTGCCCAAGGTAGTTTATAGATTCAATGCCATCCCCATCAAACTACCAATGACTTTCTTCACAGAATTGGAAAAAACTACTTTAAAGTTCATATGGAACCAAAAAAGAGCCCACATCACCAAGACGATCCTAAGCCAAAAGAACAAAGCTGGAGGAATCACGCTACCTGACTTCAAACTATACTACAAGGCTACAGTAACCAAAACAGCATGGTACTGGTACCAAAACAGAGATATAGACCAATGGAACAGAACAGAGGCCTCAGAAATAATACCACACATCTACAACCATCTGATCTTTGACAAACCTGACAAAAACAAGAAATGGGGAAAGGATTCCCTATTTAATAAATGATGCTGGGAAAACTGGCTAGCCATATGTAGAAAGCTGAAACCGGATCCTTTTCTTATACCTTATACAAAAATTAATTCAAGAAGGATCAAAGATTTAAATGTTAGACCTAAAACCATAAAAACCCTAGAAGAAAACCTAAGCAATACCATTCAGGACATAGGCACGGGCGAGGACTTCATGTCTGAAACACCAAAAGCAATGGCAACAAAAGCCAAAATTGACAAATGGGATCTAATTAAACTCAAGAGCTTCAGCACAGCAAAAGAAACTATCATTAGAGTGAACAGGCAACCTACAGAATGGGAGGAAATTTTTGCAACCTACCCATCTGACAGGGCTAATATCCAAAACCTACAAAGAACTCAAACAAATTTACAAGAAAAAAAACCCCATGAAAAAGTGGGTGAAGGATATGAACAGACGCTTCTCAAAAGAAGACATTTGTGCAGCCGACACATGAAAAAATGCTCATCATCACTGGCCATCAGAGAAATGCAAATCAAAACCACAATGAGATACCATCTCACACCAGTTAGAATGAAGATCATTAAAAAGTCAGGAAACAACAAGTGCTGGAGAGGATGTGGAGAAATAGGAACACTTTTACACTGTTGTTGGGACTGTAAACTAGTTCAACCATTGTGGAAGTCAGTGTGGCGATTCTTCAAGGATCTAGAACTAGAAATACCATTTGATCCAGCCATCCCATTACTGGTTATATACCCAAAGGATTATAAATCATGCTGCTATAAAGACACATGCACACATATGTTTATTGTGGCACTATTTGCAATAACAAAGACTTGGAACCAACCGAAATATCCATCAATGATAGAATGGATTAAGAAAATGTGACACATATACACCATGGAATACTATGCAGCCATAAAAAACGATGAGTTCATGTCGTTTGTAGGGACATGGATGAAGCTGAAAACCATCATTATCAGCAAACTATCGCAACAACAGAAAACCAAACACCGCATGTTCTCACTCATAGGTGGGAATTGAACAATGAGAACACATGGTCACAGGAAGTGGAACATGACACACCGGGGCCTGTCGTGGGATGCGGGGAGGAGGGAGGGTTAGCATTAGGAGATATACCTAATGTAAATGACGAGTTAATGGGTGCAGCACACCAACATGGCACAGGTATACATATGTAACAAACCTGCACGTTGTGCACATGTACC